>NC_000012.12:98975279-99278309 GCF_000001405.40 Homo sapiens
CCTTTTTTCTCTACCTCCCTCCCTCCTTCCTTCTTCCTTTTCCTCCTTCTTTCCTTTCCTTTCTCCTTCCTTCCCTCCCTCCCTTCCTGCCTTCCACCCTTCCTACCTTCCTGCCTTCCTGCCTGACTTCCTTTCTTCCCTCCCCCTTCCTTCTTTCTTGCCTTCCTGCCTTGCAGTCACCGAATGTTTTTTGAGTGACTATGATGTGCCAAGACCCGGTATAAGGGTGCACGAAATAAAGTCTCTACCCTCAGGAGCTTACTTCCTAGTGGGGGAGACAGATTATAAACAAAGACACAAATAGGTAATATACTATTATGTGGTGAAAAATGCTACGAAGGGAAAGTCACAGGGAGCATTTTTGTTTGGTTTTTTTTTGTTGTTTTATATAGAATGGTCACAGGTGCCTCTCTGAGGAGCCCTTGGAGCAGACACCTGAATGAAGTGAAGCCACATGCCTGGAGAACAAATATTCAGACTGAGATAAGAGTGAACACACACCTGCAGTGAGAGAGAGAGAGAGTTGGGTGTGATTTGCAGACCTGTAGGAAGGCCAGTGTGGTTGGGCAGAGGGAGCAGGGAATGTAGGCAGGGGCCAGATCACCCAGTATTTGTAAACTGAGGCATGGACTGAATGATAGGGCGGCTTCATTCATCCACCAAACCACGTGCTGAGTAATCTACCCCAATTCCAAAGCATGAACTTGACAACTGCTTCTTCATAGTAATAGATGAAGGATAAAAAAATTTAAAAAGCATATAGATGAGCCAACTTTTATGTGCTTAAAGTGAAAACAATCATGTCTATAAGACAAAAGAAGGAAAGACATTTGACATGCTCCATGTACCTGAGATTCATCTCGTGTTAATAAAATGTTGAACATATTACACTATTGGCCGGTGTTTAGTTTCAGCTGAGGAACTAATTCCTAAAGCTGCAGCCTGGGGGATGGGGAGATAGGGTGGACACTGAGACAGGGCATGGAGGAATTCAGATGGTATTTACCCCAGAAATATTTACTGAAATTGGGAATGCTGAGTCAAGCCTAGCCATGCTAGAGGGCCTTGGGAAGGCAGTTACTAGAATCTCCTTGATTTTTTTCCAATTTCAGAAGAAGCAACAAGAAGAAAGTGTCTTGACTAATCCTTCTAGTGAAAGATATTCACTTTTATAATAAGGTGCTTGTCTACACAGAGGTTTCTGAGTCAAAGGAGGAGAACGTACAAAATAGACCGAAAGAAGAGCCTGCCTAGCTGCTCTTTTTCTTTTGTAATTACCAAGATCCCGACGGTTTATACCCACTCAACTGCAGGTGCTGGGAGAGGAGAGGCTACTGTGACAAAAATTATATAAAGAAGAGCCCAGCAGATGCATTTCCAGATAAACAATGTAAAACATAGTCTATGTAAGTGCCATAAAATTTCACTAATAAAAAACACACATGGCTCAGGGAAACATTTATTATCAAAATGGAAGCAGGAAAGGGCATATGCTAAGTCTTATTCATTTCAATAAATAGCAGAACGTGAATTGATAAAAGTTCTTAATTGAAAAACAGTTGCTCATTTGTAGTTTGATATTTAAAAGCTTTCTAAACATGTATTTATTTTGTTTTGCCTTGAAGTAATTAGCTATTAGACTAACTATTTTCTTTTCATGTCAGGTACACAGTGGCTCCAAAGTCAAAACAAGGTTAGATTGGAAGGAAGCAAACAATGAAATTGAAGGGAAATATCGACACTTCTCAATCAATGAAAATGCATCAGCATGTATGAGCATCTTTAGCTGGCAATAATACATCAGAAATAAATAATGTTAGCAAAAGAGACAGCATCATTGGCTATTCATAGTATGTATTCACGGTTGTACAATAAAATTCTAAAGGCTGAGGTTGAAAGTGAATAAAAATTATTAGTTCTAAACACTTGAAAATTCCAGCAGCTTAGACATATTTTTGTATGCTTTCAGTGCCCCAAATGTAAAACTTAAATCATTTTATGAAAAAACCTTGTTCAATCTTTTAAGAAATTTGCATTTCATTGCAAAGATGGAACATAGCATCCTTGGCTGAGTTATTTTCTATAGAAGTCAGTGCCATTTTGTGGTATATGATTAGCACATTCTAAAGGCAAAGATTCCAGAACGTTTAAATTTAGTTGTGAAAAACTGAAGGCATTTATCCATTCATATATAAGCATGAAAATGCAAGCTTCACTTTCTCAGTATGTTTAAATGCCACATATTATAATGGGAATTCTAGAAGATGTGATCATCAAACTCTGATTTCACGCTTAGAAATCAAATAAAAAAGAGACTGGCCTATAATTAGAAAATTAGTCAAGTCAGATCTAATATCAACACATGGTTGTCACAGAACAAAAAATTTTTGCTTTGAGAAAAATGAGATATCATTCTGGATGAATATTCTGGGTCAGTAGAAAATAGGGAATCAAAGTATAGAAATAAAGTGTTTATGTCACTGTAAAACTTCTAGTTTTCTAAAATAAAATTTAAATATCTGAAATAGCAGTTTATACTTCATACTCATACAGTCAATAGACATTGGTAGCTTAAGAAAGAACTTGGTAAGTGATGATTTAAAGAGTGATATAGATTCAGTAGTATTCAATATACAGTTGTAATTGATGAGCTCATCAAACTATGGAATTTGGGATATTTACATAATATTTACATTATATAATATGGGAGAGATAGCAAGTATCTATAAAGAGTTTAAATTCCCATACTAGGAAATGTATAGTTTGTTTTAATCTATGTCTACATTTAAAGTAGATTTTTTTTTCAGAGACAGCATATAGTTGGGTATTGCTTTTTAAATTTTTAAATCTAATCTTTGTCTTTTAAATTATATTTAACGTAGTTGTTGATATGGTTGAATTTATGTCTATTACCTTGCTACTTGTTTTCTATTTATCCCATTTATTCTTGTTTTTTTCCCTCAATGTCTGCCTTCTTTTGGATTATTTGTTTTAGTATTCCATTTTATTTCCATTAGTGGTTTATTAGTTATACCTCCTTTTAAATTTATTTACCTAATTTTAGTTGGTGCCACAAGGCTTAAAGTATAAATCTGTAGTTTATTTTTGGAGGATCTTTGCCCCACAGATTCCAGTCTTACCATGCTATTTATTTTTTAGCGATTTGATTACGCTCTGGTCAATATGTGATTATGTGCAAACTGTGTGTGTGTGCGTGTGTGTGTTTATCTTGCTTGAGGTTTGTTGAATTTCTTGGATCTGTGGGCTTAGAGTACTCACATAAAACTTAAAATAAATTTCTATATTCTTTTTTCTGGTATACTGTCTATGCACTCTTAATTCATATAGTCATGTTTTTATGTCAGATATTCCATTTTTTGTCTTTAAATAATATACCAATTAATGTATAACGTGATCCTTACAATAGTTATACTTCTATTTCCCCATTTTTCCTGCTATTGTGATAATACATTTTACTTCTATATATGACAAAAAACCCCATGATATACATAACAGTGTATATAATAATAACATATTTTTGCTTTAAATAGCTAAGTCTTTTAAATAAATTTTTAAAACGAGGGCCGGGCGCGGTGGCTCACACCTGTAATCCCAGCATTTTGGGAGGCCGAGACAGGCAGATCATGAGGTCAGGAGATTGAGAACATCCTGGCTAACACGGTGAAACCCATCTCTACTAAAAATGCAAAAAATTAGCCAGGCGTGGTGGCGGGCGCCTGTAGTCCCAGCTACTCGGGAGGCTGAGGCAGGAGAATGGCGTGAACCCGGGAGGCGGAGCTTGCAGTGAGCTGAGATTGCGCCACTGCACTCTAGCCTGGGCAACAGAGCGAGACTCTGTCTCAAAAAAAAGAAATTTTTTTTTAAATGAGAAAAAGTATTTTATATTTATCCATAAATTTACCACTTACATCACTTCATTTCTTTGTGTAGACCTGAGTTTTTATGTGGTATCATTTTCTATTTTTTAATTAATTAATTTTTTTTTGAGATGGAGTCTCGCTCTGTCGCCCAGGCTGGAGTGCAGTGGCGCAATCTTGGCTCACTGCAACCCCCGCCTCCCGGGTTCAAGCAATTCTCCTGCCTCAGCCTCCCAAGAAGCTGGGACTACAGGTGCATGCCACCATGCCCAGCTAATTTTTTTTTTGTATTTTTAGTAGAGACGGGGTTTCACCATGTTAGCCAGGATGGTCTCGATCTCCTGAACTCGTGATCCACCCGCCTCGGCCTCCCAAAGTGCTGGGATTACAGGCGTGAGCCACTGCGCCCAGCTATCTTTCTCTGGTTTTCATAGTTTATGGCAAGAAACCTGCAGAATTTCTTACCTTTGTTACTTTGTGAAGTGTCTTTTTTCTCTGGATGCTTTTAGATTTTTTTTTTTTAGCAATTTAATTATGCTGTGGTTAATATGTGTAATTATGTGTAAGCTGCATATGTGTGTATGTGTGTGCGTGCGCTTATCTTGCTTGAGGTTTGTTGAATTTCTTGGATCTGTGGGTTTGTAGTCACACCAAATTTACATAATTTGGTAGCCATTATTTCTTGAGATATTATCCCCCATCCATTTTTTAATGTGTCCTTTTTTCCCCCAAATATACATGTTAGACTGCTTGATATTATTCCACAGGTCACTTAGGCTCTGCTAATTTTTTCACTACTCTTTTTTTCTACATACTTCATTTTGGATGATTCTCTTACTATGTCTTCAAGTTCATGGGCTTTTTCTTTTAATCCAAATGGTCACATTTTCATGTCAGATATTCTTAATCCAAATAGTCACGTTTTCATGTCAGATATTCTGTTTTATTTTTGTCTGTAGAAATCACATTTGGGCTTTAAAAAATATCCTCAATTTCTCTCCTCATTTCATGTTTTCCTTTAAATACTTGCAAATAGGTTTTTTTGTTTGTTTGTTTGTTTTGAGACGGAGTCTCGCTCTGTCCCCCAGGCTGGAGTGCAGTGGCGCAATCTCGGCTCACTGCAAGCTCCGCCTCCCAGGTACCCGCCATTCTCCTACCTCAGCCTCCCGAGTAGCTGGGACTACAGGCACCCGCCACCACGCCCAGCTAATTTTTCATTTTCGTATTTTTAGTAGAGACGGGGTTTCACCGTGTTAGCCAGGATGGTCTAGATCTCCTGACCTCGTGATCTGCCCGCCTCGGCCTCCCGAAGTGCTGGGATTACAGGTGTGAGCCACCGCGCCCGGCCGCACATAGGTATTTTAACATTCTTGTATGCTAGTTCCATTATCTCTGTCATTTCTGAATCTATTTCTATTTAATGCTTTTTTCCTCCTCATAATATGTCACATTTTCTTGTATCTTGTCTAGTAATTTTTGATAGAATGCTGAAGATTATAAATGCCAGGTCATCTGGATTTTGACTTCCTTAAAAAATATTAATTTTGGTTTTGGCAGGAAGCCAAACAAAAATCCAGATCTAAAGTCCAAGTTTCTAGATATTTGCCCCTCAGCTTCTAGCCTGAGCCTCTCCAAACTCCAGTCTCTGTCTTCTGAGTCAGCCAGGAAGTAAATCCAAGCTGTTTTGGGTTACCCTTCCCTCTGCTTATGGACCATAAATTGCCTCCTGGAAGAAACCTGGGGCAATTGTAGAAATCACTTTTTTTGTCTTCTTCCTCTCAGAGATCACAGCCCTAAGCTGCCTACAATCTGATGTTTGAAAACAGCTGCACCATATATTTTGTTCAGTTAAATTTTTTTTTTTTAGGCCAGGCATGGTGGCTCATATCTGTAATCCCAGCACTTTGGGAGGCTGAGGAGGGAGGACTGCTTGAGCTCAGGAGTTTGAGACCAGCCTAGGCAACATAGTGAGACTCTGTCTCTACTAAAAATAAAAAAAATTAGCTGGGCATGGTGGCACATGCCTGTGGTCCCAGCTACTCAGGAGCCATCTCACCGCAGCCTCGAATTCCTGGCCTCAAGCGATCCTCCCACCTCAGCCTCCTAAAGTGCTGGGATTACAGGCAAACACCACTATGCCCGGCTATTGTTCAGTTTTTTTTTCTTTTGTTTTTTGTTGTTTGCTTTTGCTTTTTTGAGGCAGAGTCTCACTCTGTCGCCCAGGCTGGAGTGCAATGGCACGATGTCAGCTCACTGCAACATCCGCCTCCTGGGTTCAAGGGATTCTGCTGCCTCAGCCTCCCGAGTAGCTGCAACTACAGGCGCATACCACCACGCCTGGCTCATTTTTGTATTTTTAGTGGAGACGGGGTTTCACCATGTTGGCCAGGCTGGTCTCAAACTCCTGACCTCAGGTGACCCACCCGCCTTGGCCTCCCAAAGTGCTGGGATTACAGGCGTGAGCCACTGTGCCCAGCATATTGTTCAGTTTTTAATGGGAGGTTAGGGACAAATTTTGATACTCCATTAACAGCCCAAAGCCTATTTCCCAAATCTGTTTTAGATACCCTTAGATGAAATAATTCTTACAGAAACCATGAGACCTTAAATGATTAATCATAATTATCAAAGAAAACTCCTGAGCAGTTAATGTCAAATGTAATATGATGTAAGTAAGTTGATTGATAATATTCGTGTCTTGTTAAAAGAGGCTACTTTAGTCTGCTGAGATACTGAACGGATTTTCCTAAGGGAAGGAGTATCTGATATGAAATACCAGTTAATCATCAGTCACCAACCATTAATTAAATGGCTACTTTATAAAGGACATTAAACTGAGCGCTAGATGGAGTATGTTGTTGCAGTCATTTCATAGAAAAGTCTACAGGGGTAATTATAAGAAAAAGAAATTGGGTATTTCAAAGATCTAGTCACTGATATAAGTGGAATGTGATATCAAATGTGAATCAATACTTTAAAATAATTTTTATTAAATGCTTATTAGATACAGAAGAATGCTATAAAAATATATGTAAACTTAAAAGTAGTGCTTCTGAAACTTTAATGTGCAAACAAATCACCTGAGATCTTGTTAAGATGCAGATTCTGATTCAGGAGTCTGGGGTGGGGCCTACCTCTGTAGTTCTAAAAAAAAAAAATCCAGGTGAGGACAATGTTTCTGCTCTGCAGACTATCTTTGGAGTAGCAAGAGTAAGAGAAGTGAAACTACAATGATCATCTGTGTGCCCACCACTGGTGTAAGAAAAATAACTTTATTTTTATCTCTAATGTCTTCTGGGTACCCCCTCCTGATCCCTTCCCTCCCTCTTAGAAATGACTACTTCCCTCCCTCTTAGAAATGACTACTCTCTTGAATTTTGTTTTTATCATCCTTTTGCTTTTCTTAAAAGTTTTAACACATTTGCTTGTCACTTCAATATATATTGTTAGGGTTTGCATATTTTTGAATGCATGAACCTAATATAAATGGAATCATTTGCATATATCCTTCTTCAATTTTTCATACCACATTATGTTCCTGAGGTTAATTCATATCATTGTAATCATAGTTTGTATAAACTTAATTTATTTTCATCACTGTATGGAATTCTATTGTATGAATATACATAATTCATTTTACCGTTGTTGAATTTTGAAATTTAGGTTTTATACTGCCATGAAAATTCTTGCATAAGTTCCTGGTGCACACATGCAACACTTAGTCAGATTATATACATAGGTGATGAATTGCTGGCTCATAAGGTATACACATTTTAAACTTTAGTAGATTATGCCAAATTGTTTTCTAGAGTGGTTATATTGACTTGTTCTGCCACCAACTGTGTGTACAAATGTTCTGGTTGTTCCTCATCTGTATTAGTTTTATATTGCTGCACAGCAAATTGTCACAAATTTACTGGCTTAAAACAATATCCACATATTAGATCATAGCTCTATAGGTCAGAAATCCAGGTGGGCCTGGATGGGTTCTCTACTTGGGGTCTCACCAGTCTAAAATCAAAGTTTCAGCTGGGCTGACTCTTATCTAGAGGCGCTGTGGAAAAATCTGCTTCCAGGCTTTTTCAGGCTGTTGGAAACATTCAGTTATTGGCAGTTACAGACTGAAGCCCCTTTTCCTGCTGTCTGTTAGCTGCTAAGGACCACTCTCAGCTCCTGGAGGCCACTCTCAGATCCTTGTCCCATAGCCCCCTCCACTTATCAATGGAGACCCTCCTTTGCATCAAATTCCTCTCATGCTTAAAATCTCTCTGAGTTGGATAAAAGTCAATATATAAAGAGCTAATGTGATTAGATTAAGCATATCCAGGCAATCTCCCTTTTGTCATATAATGCACCATAGTCACAAGAATAATTCCAGCGATTAAAGTTATGAGGGTCATCTATAGAATTCTGCCTACTCTAGTTTACTGATAGCCAGACTGGCCCCATGATTCACTACTGTTTCATAGGTAAAATATATTCACCACTTCCCAAGGTTCCTAGTGCTTTGATTCCATTACAGCATCAGTTCAAAGTCTAAAATCTCAATAAATCATCTGAATAATCTAAACCAGATGGAATATAAAAAGGAGTCAGCAATCCAAAGCAGTGTTGAAATCCAGTGGAGCAAAACTGGTTGGGAAAACTCCACTGAGTTTCAAGGCCTGGGAATAATTCTCTTTAGCTCTCAGCTCCTCCCTCTCCACTTTTGGTTTCACCCTCTGAGTCAACTTTCTTTTTTCATAAAGAGTAGATGAATAGTTTTATCTCCCTGCTTCTCGCAGTAGAATTTGAGCAGATGTAAGAGTCTCTTTTCATTTTATACTCTCTCTGTCCCTTTTGGTCCAGCTGGTAGTATTTCTGCTGATACAATTTTCTCAAGAACTTTCTGGATCTCCTGTGGATATCACAGTGATTCACTGCATCATACAGAACACATGCTGACAAGTCTTTTGAGATAATCCCTTCTCTATTTTTGGCTTCTACTGAAATGGTTGAGGGACAGAACCCTTAAGCCCAGAGGTCCTCTGGTTTAACTGAGAAGATCTGTGAGAAACACCCTTAATCTCCTGGAAGGGTAGTTTGTGTGGTAAAATACTCTGGCCTTTTGATATTTCTGAGTTTTCAACAAAGAACTGTATAGTATACACTCAGACTTTTCTTTATGCCACTGTTTTAGCAGCCATTTATGACTTTTAGCATCCTTTTGCCATCTGGAGAGGCTGTGAATTTTCTAAATTATCTACTCTGGTTTCTGTTTAAAAGTTCTTCCCTCAATTTATCTCTCTCCTTTCACAATTTACTATAAGCAACAAGGAGAAATCAGGCTGTAGCTTTAACACCTTTCTTGGAAATCTCCTTAGCTATATATTAAAGTTCATTGTTTACAAATTCTGCTTTCCACATAACTGCAAGATGCAACTTTGCTAGCTATTTGGCCACTACATAACAAGACTCTCCCTTCCTGCATTTCTAATAATATGTTTCTCACTTCTTTCTTAGTCCGCACTGACAGCATTCTCAAAGCCCAGATTTTTTTAACCTATTTCCTTATATTTTAATGGGTTTTCTGTGGCTCATGGTGGCTCATGCCTGTAATACCAGCACTTTAGGAGGCTGAGTCAGGAGGACTGCTTGAACCCAGGAGTTTAAGACCAGCCTGGGCAACATAGTGAGACCCCAACACTGCAAAAAATTAAAAAAATTAGCTGGGCATGGTGGTGTGTGCCTATAGTCTCAGCTACCTGGGAGGCTGAGGTAGAAGGATTGCTTGAGCTTGGGAGGTCAAGGCTGCAGTGAACTATGATTGTGCCACTGTACTTCAACCTGGGTGACAAAGTGAGACTGTCTCAATCAATCAATGAATAGATAAACAAAAAATGAATGGAAGTTCTTGTAGACAAATATATGTGGTTTGGCTTTTATTTATCCAATATGACAAGCCCTAAATTTTATTTTATTTATTATTTTATTTTGAGACAGTCTCACTCTGTTGCCCAGGTTGGAATGCAGTGGTGACATCGTGGCTCACTGCAGCCTCAACCTCTTGGGCTCAAGTGGTCTTCCCACCTCAGCTTCCTAAATAGCTGGAACTACAGTTATGTACCACTGCTCCTGGCTAATTAAAAAATTTTTTTTTGCAGAGAAGAGATCTTGCTATATTGACCATACTGAAGCCTTGCTTTTTAAGATGATATTTAGATCATTTACATTTAATGTAATTATCAATATTTTTAGTTTAGTTTCCCAACTTTCTATGTCTTTTTATCCAATTTATTTTCTCTTCTTTTCCTTATTCCTGCGTTTTTTGATAAGTATTTTTATGATTACATTTTATTTTTCAGGATTGGATTATTAGTTACACATTTTTGTTTTATTATTTTTAGTGGTTGCTCTAGGGTTTACATTATTCATCTTAACAAATAACACCCTACTTCAAATAATATAATAATATATATTATTTCACATATAGTATAAAACTCATAACTTCCATTTTCCTCTTTTATCCTTTGAATGATACTATTGTCTTTCATTTTACTTCTAAGATGTTGTAAACCTCTCAACAAATTGTTTACATATTTTCTTTAGACATTCAATTATCTTTTAAAATCTTTAAAAATAAGTAAGAAAACATGTCTCATATTTATCTACACTTTTAACATTTCCAGTGCTCCTCATTTCTTTGTGTAAATCCCAATTTCTATGTAGTGTCATTTGTACTGCCTGAAGAATTCCCTCTAATGTTTCATTTAGCACAGATCTGCCATCAATTCATGTTCTCTGCTTTTGTTTGTCTGAAAAAGCCTTTTTTCCTTCAGCTCTGAGATATTTTTTGCTGGTTATAGAATTCAGAGTTGACAGTTCTTTTTTCTTTTAGCACTTTAAAATGCTATTCCATTGTTTTTTGGCTTACTTATTTTTAACAAGAAGTTTGTAATAATTCTTTTGTTGTTCTGTGTATAATATTTCTATTTTTTTGGCTGTATGAAAGATTTTCTCTTTATCTTTGGTTTTAAGCAATTTGTCTATGATATGTCAAACAGTGTTTTTAAAATATTAATTCTGCTTGGTGTTCTCTGTGGTCTGTTATCTTTATTAATTTTAGAAATTCTCAGTCATTACCTGTTCAGGCATTTCTTCTGTGCATTTCTCTCTCTTTCCTTTTTCTACATGTTAAACCAGGTGATATTTTACCACAGCTTGTGGATGCTCTGCTCTTGTTTTTCTCATTTTTTGTCTCTTTGTATTTTAGTTTAGATAATTTTTATTGTCTTATCTTCAAGTCCTCTGACATATTCTTCTTCTGTGTTCAAGCTGATAATGAGCCCATCAAAGGAATTCTTCATCTCTGATATATTCTTCCTTCATAGCATTCCCATTGGACTTTTAATGACTTTCTCTCTACTGAAATTTCCCAACTTTTAATGTTTGTTGTGTATCTCTTCTACTGGATCTTTTGTTTTGTTTTGTTTTTGGAGACAGGGTCTTGCTCTGTCACCCAGCCTGGAGTGCAGTGATATAATCATGGGTCACTGCAGCCTTGACCTACCAGGCTCAAGCTATCCTTCCACTTCAGCCTCTTGAATAGCTGGGACTACAGGTGTGTATCACCACACCTGGATTTTTATTTTATTTTATTTTTGTAGAGACAGGGCCTTGTTATGTTGCACAGACTGTTCTTGATCTCCTGGGCTCAAGTGATCCTCCTGCCTTGGCCTCCGAAAGTGCTTAGATTATAGGCATGAGCCACCATGGCTGGCTGACCTTTTAAGACTAGAGTCATAGTTATTTTGAAGCCCATGTCTAATATTTTTACCTGGGCCATTCTTAAGTATAATTTTTTTGATGTTTTTATCCTTTGAAATGAGTAATTTTGTTCTTGCTTTTTGGGCTGTATCATATTTTTTATTGAATTCCAGAATTGGTATAAAAGTATAGTAGAATGCGATTTAAATAGTATTTTCATTAAAAATGGATACACATGTTTTTGTGTCAAGTAAACATTCAGAATCTTAAAGAAAAATTGATTAATTTATTCTCAGAAATGTGATATATAGCATACAAGATAAGAAGTTTGAGCAATAAATAGGTCAAAATTGTGCTGATGAACTTCATTAAAATTTTAACTTCATTAAAAATTAAAATTTTAACTTCCTTAAAAATTAAAAATAAAATATGTAATTCAGGAACATATATTTCTAAAGTATCCCATTATACTGAATATTTTAGAGTAACAGTTACAATGGTATGTACATGGCAAGTAAAACAGATTTTGACCTTTTCTTGCAATAGTAGCAAAATAATAACAACAACAACATAAAAAATCATAATGGTAAAGTAGCTTATTTACAAAGTGACCAGGAGTAACATTTTATACCCACTCTCACATGTAAAGTGATAAGTGGTACAGAAAATGTATTCAGTGGGAAATGTGGGAGAGGGTACTCCAGAGATAGCAGGGAGTTATAATGGTCTAGGTCTGGACAATCACAGCATCATATCCCTGGATTATAATGATTGATTTGGGACCGGTCACAGAACTCAAACAAAGACTATTAGCTCTAACAAGAGCTGTTTTGGGACCCTTTGCAGTTAGAACTAAAGTTGTAAAAAGATAAGACTAGATTGACTTGGTGCCATTATGTCACCCCAAAGGGTGAGCCTGAATTAAAACAGCCAAAACACAGAAAAATGGAGTGATGGACAGCAATAAGTTTCTGATAATATTATTTAAGTCTTTGGATTGAGCTATGCCTAAAGATCTTTTTCAGTTATAAGAACCAGCAAATGATTTTTTCCTATTTTTAAATGTAATTTAATTATTTATCTATGTTTAAATCAACAGATAAAATTGTATGTATTTATTGCATGCAACATGATGTTTTGAAGCATGTATACATTGTGAAATGACTAAGTATAATTAACATGTGCATTATCTCACAGTTATTTTTGTGGTGAGAACACTTTACTTATACTTTCAGCATTTTATAAGAATACAATATATTAACTATAGTCACCACGTTGTACAAGGGATCTCTTAAACTTATTCCTCCTATCTAACTGAAAATTTGTTATCTTTTGATCAACATCTCCCCAATTCCCTCCTTGCAATCACCTTATCCCCTAGTAATCACCATTCTACTCTCTACTTCTATGAGATCAACTTTTTTAGATTCCATATGGTGAGATCATGCAGTATTTATCTTTCTGTGCCTTTCTTAATTCACTTAACATAATGTCCTTGAGGTTTATCCATGCTGTTGCAAATGACAGGATTTCCCTTATTTTTTTATGGACAAATAGTACTCCATTGTGTATATGTAACATTTTTCTTATCCATTCATCCATGATGAACACTTAGGTTGATTCCATATCTTGGTGATTGTGAATACTGCTGCAATGAACACCAAAGTGCAGATATCTGTTTTAGATGCTGATTTTATTTCCTTTGGATATTATCTCAGTGGTGGGATTATTAGATCACATGGTACTTATATTTTTAATTTTTTGAGAAACCTCCATACTGTTTTCCATGGCTGTATTAATTTACATTCTCTCCAACAGTGTACAGGGTTCTCTTTTCTCCAAATCCTCACTAACACTTGCTATCTTTTGTCTTTTTGATAATAGCCATTCTAACAGGTATGAAGTGATATCTCCTTATGGTTTTGATTTGAATTTCCCTGATGATTAGTGATGTTGAGCACCTTTTCATATACTTCTTGGCCATTTTGTATATGTTCTTTGGAGAAATGTCAATTCAGATCCTTTGCCTATTTTTAAATTGGGGCTTTGCTGTGTTTTTGTTTTGCTATTGAGTTAACTGAATTCCTTATATGTTTTGGAATATTAACTCCTTATCAGATGTATAGTTTGCAAATATTTTCTCACACTCTGTAGGTTGTCTTTTCACTCTGTTGATTTTTTCCTTTGATTTGCAGCTGCTTTGTAGTTTGATATAATCCCAGTTATCTATCTTGCCTTTGTTGCCTGGGCTTTTGGTTCATGTTAAAAAAAATAATTGCCTAGACCAATGTCATGGAGCTTTCTCCTATGTTTTCTTCTAGAAGTTTCATAGTTTTGGGTCTAACATTTATGGCTTTCATCCATTTTGAGTTGATTTTTATATATGGTAGGAGATAAGGATCCAATTTCATTCTTCTGCATTTGGATATCCAGTTTTCCCAACACCATTTATTGAAGAGACTGTCCTTTCCTCAGTGTGCCTTCTTGGTACCTTTGTGAAAAATCAGCTGACTGTAAATGTGTTAATTTATTTCTGTGTACTTTATTTTGTTCCATTGGTTTACGTGTCTATTTTTATGCCAGTACCAGGCTGTTTTGGTTACTGTTATTTTGTAGTATATTTTGAAATCAGGTAGTATGATGGCTCCAAATTTGTTTGCTTGTTTGTTTTGCTCATGATTGCTTTGTCTATTTGGGACCTTTTTTGATTTCATATCAATTTTAGGATTGTTTTTTCTGTTTCTGTGAAGAATGAGCCAGGCACGGTGGCTTGCTCCTGTAGTCCCAGCACTTTGGGAGGCCAAGGTGGGAGGATCATTTGAACCCAGGATTTTGAAAAATTAGCTGGGTGCAATGGCATGTAGCTGTCATTCAGGCTGCTCGGGAGGCTGAGGCAGGAGGATCCTTTGAGCCCAGGAGTTCAAGACAGCAGTGAGCTATGATTGTGCCACTGCATTGCAGCCTAGGTGACAAAACAAGACCCCATCTCTTAAGAAAGGAAGAAGGAAAGAAAGAAAGAAAGAGAAAGAAAGAGAAAGAAGGAAAAGAAGGAAAGAAAATAAAAAAAAGAAAGGAGGGAGGGAGGAAGGAGACAGAGAAAGGAAGAAAGAAAGAAAGAAAAAGAAAGAAAAACAGAAAGAAAAAGAAAGAAAGTCATTGGTATTTTGGTAGAGATTGCATTGAATGTATAGATTGCTTTGGATAATGTGGACATTTTAACAATATTAATTCTTCCAATCCATGTGCATGAGATCTCTTTCTATTTGTGTCTTCTTCAATTTCTTTCATCAGTGTTTTATGGTTTTTGGTGCAGAGATCTTTTACCTCCTTGGTTAAATTTATTTCTAAATATTTTTTGTAGCTATTGTAATTAGGATTATTTTCCTAATTTCCTCTTCAGATAGCTTGCTTTTTGGGTACGGAAACGCTACTGATTTTTTTTTTCCCAACAAATGATTTTTAACTTAGACAAATTTACACTGGGTTTTATCTCCTTTCAAAAAAATGAGGCTGATGGAAAATTCAAGAGTCAATGTTTTTTTTCTAAGAGAGAAACAGAAAAATAAATAACCTGGCATTAGGGTGTAGTATGGCCTGGAGAAAAGAGATGCTGGAGATCAGCACAGCAGCAAGAGTCAGGATGATAAAGAGAGAGAGAGAGAGAAAAAAAAAAAAACACTAAGTAACCAAAGATAAAGTACTGAGTGGGAAAATATTACTTCCAATAAGGGAATCTGATCCAGCACAAAGTCTGGGCTCTGGAGGAAAGAGGCATGAGAAAGAAAAATATAGGATAGCTCTTTTTAAGTCAAAGACATGAACTGTTTACTCCAAATTAGGGCAGTGAAGACCTGAGTTGCAGACTGTCTGGTGATATCTTGCCTTTCTGTTAGGTAAGCACTAGGGTGGCTGAGCTGAGCTGCTGCAAATGTGACATAACCGGTTTGGGACTATGGTGTGCACCTGCTTGCGCTATATGCATGGCATGACCCAATTGAGATTATGGTGTCTTTAGTTGGCTTGTCCTAGTGGCAGCAGGTGAGGTATCCAGATCTGCACCTGAACCGAGGTATTTGAATAAGTGATAGAGGAGCAATTCAAAAGGCTTTTCTGAAAGTAAGTCAGTGAGACTGGTTGTGTGATGGATGAGGGACCTCAGGAAGAGAGAGGAGTAAATACTGATGCCAAGGATGCTAGCTTGGACTCTGGATGAACACTGACATGTGTGACTTTGAGTTTAACAATTGCTAAACTGTGATCAAAATTATGGGAGGCATTACACTGAAAGGCAAAACTCAAAGAAAACTCTAATATAGTATTAGTTGAAAAGTAAATGGGGGTACCATGAAGATAACTAAAGCCATATTTGGTATACATTTAAAATGCTAGAATATGTCCTTTGGATGTGCTGTTTGCATATAGGGTACACAGAAGGGGACTTTTATCTTGTTAGGTTTTATTTCAGATATATAATGGCTCTTTTTGTTCCCAGTGAATTTGGGATGTTCTATGTGTTGCTTAATAGTAAAATATTTAAATGTTAAATTATTAGTATGCAATATGTGTTAGTATAAATCAAGTACTTTCATTGAATCTCTGAAGATAAATACAACCATGTAATGTTTAATTTTGACTGTCTTGCAAACGACCTGAACATCAATTAACAATCTAATAATAATAGTAACTAACAGTTTTTCATGCTCAGGCACTATTCTAAGTGCTACACAATCTGGTAACCTATTTAATGTTCACAACTACCCTACGAAGCAGGTACAATTAGTTCTCCCATTTACTGATGAGGAAACCAAATCACTGGGAAGTTAACTTGCTGAAGTCGCATAGCTAGTAAATAGTAGAAACCAATATTAGATTCTAGGCAGTCTGATTCCAGCGCTTAAACTCAAACACTCATCTTTACTGGCTACATGTTGTATATTCACATACACACACACAAAATTTAACAAAACACTTATAAACAAAGTACTGTGAGATCTATAGATAAGAACATCCAGTCTTGCTGTTAGGAAATGTGGCTGGGAAAATAGAATATTTATATGAAAAAGATAATAATAGAAGACAGTGTGTAGGAAGTGACAGATGGATGGCACAGACAAATCACTCTGCAGAGGTTGTAGAGAATGGGGCAGGGGTAGGTTACAGGACAGATGGTCTTAAACTGATGGATAGGACCTACCTGTACCATCTGGTTCCTGCCCACCTCTCTAAACTTATCTTCCTGACATTCACCAAATTCTAGCCACACGGACCTTCTTTGTGTTCCTCAAAATGCCACACTCTTTTCTGTCCCACGGCTTTTACAATTGTTGTGTCTTCTGCCTGGAAGACTCTTTCTTTAAATCTTGGCAAGGCTGCCTCCTTTATTATTCAGAAGTCAGATCATTGTGCCCTCTGATATGGTTTGGCTCTCTGTTCCCATGCAAATCTCATCTCAAATTTTAATCCCACATGTCCAGGGAGGGACCTGTAATCCCCATGTGTCAAGGGAGGGAGGTGATTGGATCCTGGGGGTGATTTCCCTCATGCTGTTCTTGTGATAGTGAGTTCTCCTGAGATCTGATGGTTTTATAAGTGTTTGGAAGTTCTTTCTTCACTCTTCTCTGTGCTGCTGCCTTGTGAGGAAGGTGCCTGCTTCCCCTTCGCCTTCTGCTATGATTGTAAGTTTCCTGAGGTTTCCCCAGCCATGCAGAACTGTGAGTCAATTAAACGTCTTTCCTTTATAAATTACCCAGTCTCAGGTAGTATCTTTTAGCAGTGTGAGAATGGACTACTACACCCTCCTTAATGAGAACTTCCTTGGTGACCCAAACTGAAATACTGCTTCACTCCTACCCCAGTCCACTAGCCTGTTTGATTTCATTCATGACACTTTCCTTACCTGAAATTATCTACTTGCTAACCTGCTTATGGTCTGTTTCTCTTCACTAGAATGAAAGCTCCACGAGCAAGGATCTATGATGCCTGTCTTGTTCTCATCTTTTTTATTTTTTCCCTCAAGTAGTTTCTGAAGTTTCTACCTCATCTACACAATCTTTCTGGGCTTTAAAGGCTATGAGGGAATGTCCCTCTTTGACTTGTTTTGAAGCCTTGGGCCTACTTATTTGTATATAAGAGAATATTTTTAAATGGTTCTCTTCTTTATATATTTAAAGCATGAAATGCTCTGAATATCAATGAACCCAATCACATTTGGGTAATAGAAAAGGCTGTTTTCTTCATAGTTGATTCTTTTTTTAAAAATTTAATTTCTTATTTATTTATTTTGAGAGAGAGTCTCATTCCATTGCCCAGGCTGAAGTGCAGTGGCATGATCTCAGCTCACTGAAACCTCCACCTCCCAGGTTCCAGCGATTCATACACCTCAGCCTCCTGAGTAGCTGGTATTACAGCTGCACGCCACCATGCCTGGCTAATTTTTTGTATTTTTAGTAGTGATGGGGTTTCGCTATGTTGGCCAGGCTGGTCTCCAATTCCTGGCCTCAAGTGATCCGCCCGCCTTGGCCTCCCAAAGTGCTGGGATTACAGGCCTGAGCCACTGTGCCCAGCCTGTAGTTGGTTCTTTTGAAATGTTCCTCTCCTTTATGGGCCAAGCTGATAGCATTTGCTTTACCCTCTCCATTTCGTATATTTATCAGCCATCAAAGGCTTTTCTTATTGCTTGGAACTTAATTGAATGATGTTTTTGTTTCTTTACCAACAAATGAACACAAGCGGCTTTCGAAAATACTCCAAAAAACAGTGAGCTGTAGGCAAGATTTTATTCTTCATGTGTGATATATTTTGGTAATTAAGGAGTCAATTCTTTGGCTAAATGCTGAAAGAAAAATGATGATTATTGTGTAGGATAAAGCTGTGAATTATAGAATACTTTCAACTCTGTTTAAAATCTAATTAACATTAATTGTTACATTAATTTTCCCTGTGAAATTTACTAACTGTATACAAAATGATATTTAATCTTCCTAATGGAGGTCTAGTGTATTCGTTTCAGTCCTATTCGTAGGAATATGAGTTGAAATGGCAAAGTTATAGTTATGTTGAAAGTAATGAAGTAATTTTTATATAAAACTAATTTATTAACTATCACATTGTAATTAATTAAAACACTCTTACTTTTACACAATGTTCCTGTTTTTAAAGTACTTTTGTGTGTGTGTGATATACATATCTATATGTACATATATGTGGATTCCCACAGCGTCGTATGATACAAGCAGAACCATTAATTATTATTTATCCCCATACTTATGTATAATGGAGTTTCCATGAGGTTTAAAAACTTCCCCTGTAACATAAGGATAGTGGATCATGAAGTTCATAATTTGTGACCTTATTAAGTTCTAATTACTAGGGATACTTCTTGTTTTAGTTTGCTAGGGCTGCCATAACAAAGCATCAAGATTTAGTGGTTAGGCCAGGTGCGGTGGCTCATGCCTGTAATTCCAGCACTTTGGGAGGCTGAGGCAGGTGGATCACCTGAGGTCAAGAGCTCAATACCAGCCTGGCCCAACATGGTGAAACCCCGTCTCTACTAAAAATACAAAAATTAGTTGGGCATGGTGGTGCGTGCCTGTAATCTCAGCTACTCGGAAGGCTGAGGCAGGAGAGAATCGCTTGAACCCAGGAGGCGGAGGTTGCAGTGAGCCAAGATCGTACCACTGCACTCCATCCTGGGTAAAAGATTGAGTGGCTTAAGTGATAGAAGTTTCTTTTCTCACAGTTTTGGGGGTTAGAAGTCTAAGGTCAAGGTGTCGGCAGGGCTGACTGCTTCTAAAGCCTCTCTCCTTGGTTTGCAGACGGCTGCCTTCTCCCTGTGTTTTCACACGGACTTCCCTCTGAGCATGTTTATGTCCCAATTTCCTCTTTCTTATAAGGACACCAGTCGTGTTGGATTAGGGCCTACCCTAATGACCTCGCTTTTGCTTAATCACCTCTTTGAAGATCCCATCTCCAAATACAGTCACATTCTGAGGTACTGGAGATTAGGACTTCAATTTATGTATTGTTGGAGGATAAAATTCAACCATAACGCTTGTGTAAATTGTGAAGAAAACAGTAATTAATGTATAGCTTGTTTTAAATTTTCTGAGTGAATGAGTTAAAGAGGCTATATGAAATAGTAAGTGCTATTTTAGCCAAGAAAATTATGTCTCAGCACATGTGGTTTGTGTTTCAAAAATATTTCTTGAGTAAAATGTCTGATTTATCTAATATTTTTAATAATGCTATAACCTTTACTATTTTGATAATGGTAGTACTACCCGACATATATTGAGTCTTACCATGTACCAGACTGTTTTAAACATATGCCCTGTATTAACATATTTAATTATTACAAGCAACCTATGGAATACTATTATTGCCCTAATTTTAAAAATATGGAAGCTGGCCAGGCATGGTGGTTCACGCCTGTAATCCCAGCACTTTGGGAGGCCAAGGCAGATGGATCACCTGAGGTCAGGAGTTCAAGACCAGCCTAGCCAACATGGTGAAACCCCATCTCTACTAAAAAAAATTTAAAAAATTAAAAAAAAGAGAGTAAACTCTGTGTAAGAACGCTAAATGACTTGTCAAAGGTTCTACGGCAATTAAGTAGCAGAATTGGAATGAAACCCAGGTTCTCAGGCTCTGGAACTTTTGATTAGCAGGCCAGTGGTTCTCAATGGGTGGACTCTAGTTTCTGGCTAAGATGGAGTAAGAGGAAAAGATTTACCATCCAATGTAGAACAACTAAAAAATGTATCTAAATATGTAAAACAATGGATTGTAAGACATTGGACTTCATGGAATGAAAGGCAGTGATCCCTGCGAGGAACCATATAGTTGCCCCACTTTATAATCGAGAGAAAGAGTTCCCAGGCTTGATGCTCAGGAAGGTGATACCTGACCCCTGCAGCCTGCAGTTGGAACACAGCACTGAGAGTCCAGGGAGACCAATGCAATCAGAGTACAGGGAAGAGGACAAGAGTACTCTGCACAGGGAGCGAGAAAGAGCTTCACAGACAGTCAGAGGGTTCCCTTGAATCATCAGAGGAAAACAGATTAGTATATACATGTGCAGAAACTAGCCATGGCTGGGGAAAGAACTACCGAAGGACTAGAGGGAACAATTGCTGGAACTCATCTGGGGCTGGAATAGTTCCTGTCCCCAAATCATAACTCATGGGACATTGGGTAGAATATTCAGAAGAATTTTGACTCGGTGGGGAAAAATTAGCCCTACACTAAATTATGCTAGTTCCACCTTACCAAGCTTAAAAGAAAGACCTGAAAGGGTCAAACTGTTTCCAAGTTGAAGAGGAAAGGGAATAAACATTCACGAATTACTGTCATCATCGTGAAGGGACTCTGGATGTGAATCAGTAGCTACACAAGAACCTTCAGTGTCTCTGAGCATGGGAAGATGAAAAGATTTGCTTTTCATGCAAGGAATTTAAATTTCCAATGTCATATATATGAGGACAAAATACATTAGTGTCTGAGTGTTCCCAGCACTTCTCCTCTTCACCCCACTGAAAAGAGTCTATCCACCCAGATTCTTCCCCTCCACAGCTCTTCAGAGAGGGTTCTGCTGGCCAGATTGGTTCAGAAAGAAGGTATTAAGAATTACCAGCTGGGTGTGGTGGCTCACACCTGTAATCCCAGCACTTTGGGAGGTCGAGGCAGGTGGATCACGAGGTCAGGAGATCCAGACCATCCTGGTTAACATGGTGAAACCCCATCTCTACTAGAAATACAAAAATTAGCTGGGCATGGTGGTGGGCGCCTGTAGTCCCAGCTACTTGGGAGGCTGAGGCAGGAGAATGGCATGAACCCGGGAGGCGGAGCTTGCAGTGAGCCAAGATCCCACCACTGCACTCCAGCCTGGGTGACAGAGCGAGACTCTATCTCAAAAAAAAAAAAAAAAAAAAAAAAAAAAAGAATTACCATGTGAATGATGAACACTTCCCAGTGTTTGTTGATAACTGAAGTAAAGACCTTGAGATAGTGTTGGAATTACTGTTTGGTTGCTGGGTAGTATTTGTTTACCTCTCACACTACTTTCAGATGGGCTATGTTAGTCATAGCTTTAACCAGATTATAGATTTACTGATTGGATAGATGTTTACTAAAAATTAAGTGAGCAAATGCAAGGACTAGAACAACATAGACAATATATTCTGATTTTTATTTAAAAGAAATATGCAAAAAACACTATAAAATTTTACCCCAAATATACCCATCAGTATACCAAAAGTGTACCATGTATGCTAACAGCCATATAAAATTACTAAAAGGATATATACCAAGCTATTGGTAAAAGGTTATCTCTTTCACTGGGGACCAGGATTGGGCAGGTAGAAGGCAGTAGGAACATAGCAAGGAGATCCTTTCACTTTGTATTCCGTATATTGATGAGTTGCTTGAGTTAAATAAAACAAGAATTATAATTTGTCATTAAAAAACTAAATATTAAAAATTACCATCTTCCCAGTGTTTGCAATTTTTTTTTTTTTTTTTTTGAGACAAGTCTTGCTGTCACCAGGCTGGAGTGCAGTGGCGTGATCTTGGCTCACTGCACTCTCTGCCTCCTGGGTTCAAGCGGTTCTCCTGCCTCAGCTTCCCAAGTAGCTGGGACTACAGGTGTGCCCAGTTAATTTTTTGTATTTTTAGTAGAGATGGGGTTTCACCATGTTGGCCAGGATGGTCTCGATCTCTTGACCTCGTGATCTGCCTGCCTCGGCCTCTCAAAGTGCTGGAATTACAGGCATGAGCCACCGCGCCTGGCCCAGGCTTCAAAATTTTTAAACATTTAACTGGAATAGTAAGTAACCAACAAGCACTTAGAAAGTGCCTAGTGTTTATGATTCCTGCCACCTCAGAGAGCTACATTTGTGTTCAATCTTCGGACACTTAAATGTTTTCAATGTATGTAAATAATTATTGTTAAGATTTTCCTAATTTCTTTGTTAAAATGGTTCATTTCAAGGTTCTTTAGAGCTTGCATTTATTTCATTTTTTGTCATGTTTCTTTTCTCTTAGAATAAAAACCAGCAGTCATTTTAATTACCCCTGATAATGTTCATGAATACTGCCTTGGCCTGTCTTCTGGTTTGGAACCTTTTCAAGGGCGAATGGATATTTGTCTGGTGTTCCATGTATAACCTGTCCTTGTGCCACTTTTCCAATGTGGCAGGAAGGGAACAACTGTCATCTGTTCTGAGAATTCAGCACTGTGTCTGGCACTGTGGGAATTTACCCAGACTGCTTTGGGGGAAGACATCTGACACTTCATGATAATTGTAATTAACCAGAAAGACACTGGAATTGGAGGATTTGAAGGGAAATATGACAAGGGATTAAGACTTTGAGATTACTTTTGGAGCCAGGGTGACTTAAGCACATTTAAAAAGTTAGGTTTACTTATATATTATTATTATATTCTAAACCATAAGACATTTTCTAATAAGGTTTCTAAGAGGAACATGTAAACCTGGATCAAATTTAAATAAGGTTACTGAAAATATTAATGAAACCAATGACTGAGCATTTTATAAATGAGAACTGTATTGCTTTAAGTTGGAGAAAAGCTGCAAGTAAGACAACATATTTCTTCATTTGAAAGCTTGTGTCCTTATATGAGGGACATTGACAAATGAGTGGTGATAAAATGGTGGTCTATGTGCCATAAGGGCTTAGGTACATAAATTAATGTTTTATTAACCATAAAAATAAGGTTAAAAGGTTGAAATGTAGCCTTCATGTGTCTATGTAAAAAAGAGGCAGAAAAAAATCCTCAGCACTCTAGAGAAGCTTAGTCTCTGAGCAATCACTGCATATACTAATATATTCACATATAATCTAGAATGAATGTTAAATAACAAAAATCATGTTCGTTTTTATATTTTGCTTTGCCTTTGGGATACGAAGTGATGGAACGAGCTCGTTAACACTGCTCATTTCTGGTTAGAAGAACACTAGAACCACCTAGTGGATTTTTCATTTATTGCATGATCCCTACACTTTACTATTGCTAAATTGTTAATTGCTGAGATAGGCCTTAAAGTAAAATCAGTGGTTATAATCTCTTTGTGGGTCATAATAGAAATAGTAATTGTTAATCTTCAGCAGACAAAGCTGTCCCTAAGTCCTTGAAGGGAAGTCCCTGCCCACCAAATACTTACCAACTAGCACACTGCTGCATCTAGAAAAGCACAGGCAGAGTTAAACATTTGGCTGCTGAGATACACCGTGCAACTGGAGCTTTAAATTTCCTGTGAAAGTCAGTGAGCAAGGTAAACTGCAGCAATTCATCTGCATTCATGGCAGAGTCAACTTTCGGTGAGCAAGACTAGGGAACTCTGCAGAGCACAGCCAAGGGGCTACATTAGCAGCTTGACCTTTGTATTCAATATAAATCTGTGGGCACACAAACTGGCGTTTCTAATCAATTTTGTTTTTGGAGCAAAGTAGCTTATGTGGTTACAGCGTGCCCTGGTCATTCTGTTTCCCATTGCTGAACCAACTGGGTCTCCGCATCTTGGTGGTGATGACAGATGTTACGTATATTACATTGGGATTTGGGTCAGATAAATAGCAAATATTCTGGGAAAGGATACTTTATGTTTTTGCAAAAGGTTATAAAATACCAAACTTTAGTAAACCCTGATTCTAGGCCAAAGGTTAACTCTTTATATCTATGATTTATTAGGTATCAAAAGAAAAAAGTCAGGATCTAAGGGGAATGGAAAAGTTTCTGCTATTCTAACCTAAGAGCTGGTTGTCTTCTCCTAGTAAACTAACTGTTCAGCAGATGGGATGCATCGGGCTACAAGGTTGGTGCTTTCCAGCCGGCACCGCGTGTGAAGGGCATGTGGTTGGGCTGGGCTCTCCAAGTCTGCATGGCTTGGGTTGACTATAACCAGGGGAAACACGCAGTGGCTACAACTGCTTCTCCTAACAATTCTCGTTTCATTCTCTTCTCCCACAGTGTGAAGGAGGCTAGGTGGATATTCTCTGGGGCTTGAAATTTCACACTGCAAATTTTACGAGAGTGATGATCTCTTCCTAACTCTTTAGAAGCCAAGATAGGAAAAATTTCAGTTTACAAGAATAAAGCCCAATCCCTCTTCTTATGTTGGAATGTCCAGTAAAATGCTAAGAAACGGGTGGGTAGAAGAAGAGGAAAGGAAGAAGAGAAACAGAGAGGAGAGTAAGGAAAAAATAGAAAAGGCAGAAAAAAATAATGTACATGAACAACAACAAAAATAGTGACAAACAGAATGGACTATAGAGATAGGGGAGGGTAGTGAAGGGCTTCAGAGAAGTCAGGTGAAGGGCCTTCTTTTCTTTTCTTTTTCTTTTTCCTTTTTTTTTTTTTTTTTTTGAGATGGAGTTTTGCTCTGTCATCCAGGCTGGAGTGCAGTGGCATAATCTCAGCTCACTGCAACCTCTCCCTCCGGGTTCAAGCAATTCTCTTGCCTCAGCCTCCTGAGTAGCTGGGATTACAGGTGCCCACCACCATGCCTGGCTAATTTTTGTACTTTTAGTAGAGACGGGGTTTCACCATGTTGGCCAGGCTGGTCTAGAACTCCTGGCCTCAAGTGATCCTCCTGCCTTGGCCTCCCAAAGTGCTGGGATTACAGGCATGAGCCACCGTGCTCGGCCAGGGCCTTCTTTTTTAAAGAAAATTTTATTATGCTGTGATAAGAACACAACATGAGGTCTACCCTCTTAAAAATTGTGTGCATAATACAATACTGTTAACTAGAGGCACAGGTTGTACAGCAGATCCCTAGAATTTATTCATCTTGCATAACTGAAACTTCACCCCTGTTGATTAGCAATTTCCCATCCTTGCACCCCAGTCCTTGGTAACCACCATTTATTCTACTCTCGCATTATGTGAAATGGACTATTCTAGATACCTCCTCAAAGTGCAATCTTGCAGTATTTGTTCTTCTGTGACTGGCTTATTTCACTTAGCATAATGTCATCAAGTTTCATTCCTATTATATATGTCAACATTTTCTTCTTTTTAAAGGCTGAGGCTGAGTAATATTCCGCTGTGTGTGTGTGTGTGTGCGCGCGTGCATGTGTGTGTGTATATAATATTCCAATTTACGTATTCATCCATTGATGAACATTTTGGTTATTTCCACATCTTGTTTTTTTTGAATAGTGCTGCAGTGAACAGTGGGATACTAATATTTCTGAGATCCTGATTTTAGTTTTTTGTGTTTATTTTTTTTGAGACAGGGTCTCGCTCTGTTGCCCGGGCTGGAGTGGTGGCGCCATCTCGGCTCACTGCTGCCTCAATCTCCTGGGCTCAAGTGATCTTCCCACGTCAGTCTCCTGAGTAGCTGGGAGTATAGACCACCATGCTCAGCTAATTTTTGTTTATTTTTTGTAGAGACGAGGTCTCACTATGTTGCCCAGGATGATCTCAAACTCTTAGACTGAAGCGATCCTCCTGTCTCAGCCTCCTAAAGTGCTGGGAATATAGGCATGAGCCACCATGCCAGGCCCCAGTTTCAGTTATTTTAGATAAATACCGAAAAGTGGGATTGTTGGATCATCTGGTAGTTCTATGTTTTCAATATTTTTAATTTTTCCCAGCTTTTTTGAGGTATAATTGACAAAAATTGTATATATTTGAGGTATACTATGTGATAATTTAAGTTGTGAAATGATTACCACAATCCAGTTAATTGACACATCTGTCATCTCACATAATTACCATTTGTGTGTGTGTGGTGAGAACATACAATATCTACTTTCTGAGCAAATTTCAAGCATGCAGTATGGTATTATTAACCGTAATTATCATGCTGTACTAATATTGGATCCCTAGAACTTAATTCATCTTACAACAGAAAGTTTACATCCTTTGCTCAACATCTATTTCTCCTACCTCTGGATCTCTGGTAACCAATTTCTACTCTCTGTTTCTAAGAGTTCAACTTTTTTAGATTTCACATATAAGTAGAATCAGACAGTATTTATCTTTCTTCATTTGGCTTATTTCTTTTAGCATGATGTCCTTCAGATTCATCCATGTTGTTGCAAATGGCAGGATTTTCTTCTTTTTTTAAAGACTGAATAAGATTTTCTTTTTATGCATACATATTGTCTTTATCCATTCACCTGTGATGGACACTTAGGTTGTTTCCATACCTTGACTATTACGAATAATGCTGCAATGACCATGGGGATACAGATATTTCTTCAAGATACTTATTTACTTTCCTTTGGATATAGACCCAGAAGTGGGATTGATTTTATTATATAGCAGTGTTGTTCTTCACTTTTTGAAGAACTGCCATACTATTTTCCATAGCAACAGCACCATTTTGCATTCCCACAAACAGTATGCAAGGGTTCCAATGTCTCCACAACTTCACCAACACTTTTCTCTTTTCCTCGGAGCTTTTTGTCTGTTAAACCCCAGCTTCCCCCAGCCTGAAGCATAGTTGACAAAGATTGTATATATTTACAGCGTACAACATGGTGTTTTGATATATGCATACATTGTAAAATGATTCAATCAAGCTAATTAACATAGCCGACACTTCATGTACTTATCTCTCTTTTTTTTTTTGTGATGAGAACATTGGCTTTTTGATAGCCATCCTAATAGATGTGAGGTGATATCTCATTGTGGTTTTGATTTACAGTTTCCTGATTAGGTGATGTTGAGCATCTTTTCACATTCATGTTGGCCATTTGTATGTCTTCTTTGGAAAAATGTCTTTTCAGGTCTTGAGCCCCGATTTAATTAGGTTATTAGTATTTTTGCTCTTGAGTTTTAAGAGTTCCTTGTATATTTCAGAAATTAACCCCTTCTCCATTACATAGTTTGCAAATGTTTTCTCCCATTCTATGGTAGTTTTTTTCATTCTGTTGTTTCCTTTGCTCACAGAAGCGTTTTAGTCTGATGTAGTCCCATTTGCGTATTTATGCTTTTGTCGCTGTGCTCTTGGTGTCATATCTATGAAATCCTTGCCAAGATCAATGTCATGAAGATTTTCCCTTATGCTTTCTCCCAGTGGTTTCACAGTTTCAAGTCTTACATTTAAGTTTTTAATCTACTTGGCATTGATTTTTGTGTACAGTGTAAGATATGGATCCAAATTCATTCTTTTGCAGTTGGAGAGCCAGTTTTCTCAACACTATTTGTTAAAGAAACCATCTTTTGCCCATTGTATATTCTTGGCACCCTTGTCAAAGATCAATTGATCATATATACGTGGGTCTATTTCTGGGCTCCTGATTCTGTTCTATTGGTCTATAGTCTGTCTTTATGCCAATACCAAAGTGATTTAATTATGGTTGCTCTGTAATGCATTTTGAAATCAGGAAGTGTGATGCCTCTAGCTTTGTTCTTTCTCAAAATTATTCCGGCTACTCAGGGGCTTTTGTATTTCCATATAAATTTTAGAATTGTTTTGCCTATTTCTATAAAAAATGCCATCGAGATTTTAATAGGAATTGCACTGAATCTATAGATTACTTTCGGTAGTGTGGATACTTCCACAATAATAAGTCTTGCAATCCATGAACCAGGATGAAGGGCTTCTATATATAGGGCATCAGTTCTCAAGATTGGCTGCTGGGCTTCTCAGAGCCCATGAAGATAATAATGAGACACTGTTAGTTAATTTTAATATTTTAAAGTTTGATATTCTATCTTTTAACGTTTACAGGAATTTGAAATTGTATATTTATGTGTGTACCTATTTGTTTCATGGCTCTATGAAGGCAGGACCATGTCTCTTTTACTCACCACAGAACAACTAGCACCACTGTTGTGCAGTAGAGCCTGATGGTTAGAGCTGCACGCATGGGCAGACCTCCCGGTTTGCCATCCTGCTGCGACCACTGACTACCAATGGCACATATACCACCAATTGGCTAGGCTAACAAACATTCCAAGCCCCATTTTGCCTTGTTGCCTTCCATTATAGAGGCTTGTACAAGAAAAAAAACCCTACATTTTACTTTCCCACTCTCATGCTGCTGGGGGATGGTCAAAGGACACAGACTTGGCCAATGAGGGGTTAGCAGAAAGCTGGCGAAGGATTCTGGAAAGGCTTTGAATTCCTGCTGAAAAGGAAAAATGCAGTTGACAGATGACACTACCCTCTCTCTTCTTAACTTAAACGTGGATGTGATGCTTGGATATAGGTCCGCCATTCTGTGCTTCTGAGGGAAAGAGTCAGTCAATTCTCAGAGGGAGCAGCTCTAACACCGTGGAGCCATGGAATGAACACTAGGAACAAATGACCTCCCAGCTGATTGTTATATGAGAGAAATAAATGTCCATTTGTTTCAGCCACTGTACATAGGGCTTTCTGTTCTTTTTCAGCAAAACGCTCCTATTACAGCAGTTTTGTGACTTCAAGCAAGTTACTTTACTCTGTTTTAATGTTCCCATTTAAAAACAGGGATTATACCAATATCGTCCTCATAGGGTTGTTTGAAAGACTAAATGAGATAATATACGTAAAGAGCACAGAGTAAGCACTAGATAGGGATAAATTACTATTTTTATTACTATTTTGATGATGGGCTCTTAATAAGTCTTAGATGAATAAGTGGAGTAGGTCAAACCCAAAGGGTATGGCTTCAACCCAAGGCAACCCAAGGCAACCCAAGATAACTCATTTTTTTCTGTTTGAGAAAAATGAGAAAGGGTGGAGAAATGAGAGGAAGGTGGGGTGCGGGGAAGGAGGCAGGGCTAAAGTGGAGCCAGGTGGGTGCTGGGTGGGGGGGAAAATGCCCTATGAAAATCTCCCATGGTGAATGGTCAATGTGTTGGGGCCAACATATTGGCCATGTGTGGTCCAGGCATGCCAGTATCAACAGACACTAAATAAACATTTTTTTTTTTTGGCTCATTGAATAAATGAATGCATTGTGAGGGTGTTCATTAACAAAGAAATTGCCATCTCATCCTTAAAACTGAAGAGATAGAAGTGAGAGGGCAGAAGGTTTTTCTCCAGTGTCACTCGCACACCTATTATAATATTTGCCTGGAATTATGTGGGTGAAGATGCATTGCTCAATAATTGCCTGTGCCCTCGCAAGGAGCAGAGGAGAACATCCGGTGGGAGCAGAAGCAGAGGCAGAAAGAACAGATTTCCCACGGAGTAAAATATTCTGTTCTCATAAAAAGTCCCTTGCTGTAACAAACGAGAAAATGAAAAGGAGAGCCTGTAGAAGAGAGGCAGACACCTCTTAATAGGCACATCTCTCCAAAGTTTCCCACCAGGGGCCAACTGTTCATTAAACAGGGAACAAATGCGGGAGCGTAGCTGTGATGGGCTCCATTCCACAGCCCAGTGCTGGGACTGCAGTGCGCTAGGAAGGGCGTCGCTGTTGTTGCTGTGGCCCGGTGTGACAGCAGGTCTGGCATGTCAGAATCGCCCTGCACAAATAGCTCCTGTGCAGCTGCTCTCACCCAAACCTGCTCTGAGGAGGCTCAGTGCATTCTAATCCTTCCTAAAAACATGGACAGAAAGCAATGGAAAGTTGACATGTATAAAAGGTTTAGTCATGGGGTTTTTAAGTGGATGCCTCCATGAAAGGATCAACTCAGATGGCCACGTTTCTGAACATTATTTACATCAAAACCTGACATAAATGCCTCAGATCTAGCTATTTTCTTCCTCTATCCTCTTTTTACATGTCTCCTTTTCCCTCTCGATTGCTTTAGCTTGTAACCTGCATGCGCTTTCAAATGTGGTAAGCAAATAGAAAGCAAGACGCCATTTGAATAGTGAATGGACTTGTATTCCTGTTTAGGAATGTGTAGTTGCCCTTGGGCTTTCTCAGTTATAAGACTCATAAAATAAAACCTTAACACAGATGGAACACACACACACACACGCACATGCACCACTTAAAGCAGATGTGAGTCAAAAACATATGCTGATGAACTCAATTTGCTGATGGCATTCTGAGCAGTGAGCCCACTCAGTAGGGCTGAAGGGTTGGCATAGCAACTCTTCCTGGGAAAAAATAGACAGCTGGAATAAACCATGACGATGAAAGTCTTCTTCCAATGACTGAAGAAGTAGAGAGAAATTGCCATCTCTTCTAACCCCTTCAAGCAAAGCACCTTGGTTGAGGTTTATAGACTAGGATCTTACAAATTAGAAGTTCATGTATTTTCCTAGGTCAGATTCTATACCTTGGGTTATATTCCAGCTAAGAAACACTTTCAGATAGGCTGCATGGGGCTGTGGGGAAAGAGAGAGCACAAACCTCCAAAAAGCATGGAGCTTTGACCAAAGTTTATTTCTGTAACTTATCCTAAGGCTATGCCGAGTGAAGACTTGTTTACTCTAGCTGTAACTTACTCCATCACATAGCACCATTACTTTGAGAAATTAACATATTCATTCTCAATTATTTATCAAGTATCCAGCACTAGCAATAGGGACACAGTCCCTGCTTTTGAGGGATTCATGACTAGGCAGACAGCACCCTGAGTATATTAATTAAGATCTGATCCCATATTAGAATAATATGCACAAGAGACTTATTACCTCTGTCTCCTCATTCCTATAAACATTTATCTGGGACCTATCTTATGTGGACTGTGCTAGGTGCAATGCCAAGGGATAAAGCAAGTTAAATGGCAACAGTCCTATTCGACAGGCCAGGGACTCAGGATCAGACTCAGGACCCTTTCCCTCTTGTTGCAAATCCTGCTATGTGTGGGCTCAGCCCCAAACTGTCTCTGAAATCTCAGAAATGAGCAAAGGCTAAGGATGTCAAATTGGCTTTGAGATATGCCTGTAGACTGATAACAATAGTGATGATGACGATGATATTAGTTAATACAATAAAGCTAATACTGTGCTATTATTACCAGGCACTGTTCTAAGTACTTTAAATAACTTATTTCATATACTCTTCTGTCATTTAGTATGCATACCATTATTCTCCTTCCCATTATCCATATGAGGAAAGCAAGGCACTGAGTTAAAACGACTCACCTTTAACTGTTCATCTATCAGGTAAGCTAACCCCGGAGCCTACATAAATTCTTAACTATTAAATAAGCTATGCCACTTCTCAACCACTCTGCTGAAAACTATACAAACTGACAGGTCCTACAATTAAAACCCAAAATAGATATAATAAAGCATAAAAAATCAGTTAGGAATTTTCTCTTGCTTTTGCTCTGCTGTTATTGTTGTTCTCCAGATAAGTCCCATTTTAAAATCCACAGTCACCTTAAGGATGTGATGTGGGAGCTGGAGCTGTCTGCCTACCCACCAGCTATTTTTAAAGGAAGATGATCAGGAACTAGTTATGAAAGAATCAGATTGTTTAATCTGGTACCACAGAACTTGAGAAACTATAGACTTGGTAAGTTGGAAAATATGTAGGCAGAAGTGATGTCTCTATGGAAACAGATGTGAAGATTCAAGTAAATACTAGGCCTGTTGGACTTTTTATGAAGATAGCAGAAGCTTTTTTCCCCACTTCTTCTTCTATAACCTGTTTATTGAGGAATCTGACCATGGTGAGGAACAAGCTAGAGACATATTTTTATCTCTAGTCACTGCTTCCAACTCTGCTATGTCGAATCTCCCAACTCTTCTAGACATCTCTCAATGACATCTTGGACAGGAACCATAGTCACTTACAGTCTAGTCCAGCCTTATAGCATATGCAACTGCATATCCAGTTCAAGATTTTCCATTGCTCCATTGATGGCTACACTTATTACTCAAGGATCTACTGTGGGTGTGCTTAGGGGTAACTCTTTCACCTTGGAGAGTGGTGTGGGAATGTTCTTGTTCTAGTATACTTCATCCCAAAGACCCAATTCCTCCTGTTTTGGGGACTGGGAGAGAAGATGAGATGGCTTAATGTCTCTTGGCTTTCTCTATTGCTTTTGCTGTCTCTCTAGCATACCCTAGCGACCACTGAGACTCTTGTGGGGCAGAGATCCACACGTTATCTATCTTAGGGACATGATGGGTTCTTCGAAGTCCCTCATGAGAGGCGTGACTCTGGCTCAAACATGTTCAGCCCCCTTCAGCTGTCCAAGCCCCCCCACCCTCTATCAGCTCTAACTACACTGCTTGCATTTTTCTTTCCTGGTGGGCTGCTTTACTGGCATGTGGAGGAGTGCTGATATAGCAGGAAGAGTTTTGCTACTTCTTATTAAGTCCTGAAAAGGTATCTGGTGGGTGCTGTGTTTGTAATAAGATACTTAGCACCTGTTTCCCCTCGAGCTTTGGGCCTAGGTATCAGTTCTCAGACAAAAGGAAAAGTCAATTTTTATACCCTATTATAATGATAAACTTTGATTGAAACTTTGGGGATAAGAAAGCATCGAGATGTTTCTCTCTCCTTCTATTCCTCTTTTCTCCTCCCTCCCTCTCTCCCTCCTTCCTTTGCTCCCTTCTTTCCTTCCTTTCTTTCTTCCAAATAGCAACCATGTAATCTAAATTATGAATGATAAAAAAGCCTGGCAAATCAATGAGAGAACTTAGAGCAAAGGAATTTGGAATATTATAAGATAGGGAACAATTTTAGTTTCCTGAGCATTTTGGTTGTATTACCACCTGCTCCAATCATAGACTGTACTTTTTCATGCCCAGAAAAGACTTCTACAACCCAGCCTTCATAGCAATCAGCCACTCGGGACTTTCTTGCAGTCTGAGCTCAACCTGTCTTATTTTGCTCTGAGTTTTCCAGTTCTGAAGGCTTGATTACTGGTCCAAGAGTGTCATTTAGGTAGATATGCTGAACTCACATCATCCTCGTTACAAATTGTTATGGAAAATCCCAAAAATATAAAAGAAAAAAATTTTAAAAACTAGCTAAGGGCACTGTTCACATGCTGCAAGATCTCACGGAGGAGAAGATGGAATGAGTGGAGGATACACTTGCTGTGTGTTCATCATTGAAGAAGGGAAAGAGCTTGTGAAATGACCCCTAGCAGAAACTCACTGGTGCTTTCAAGTTCAGGGTGGCAGGGTTGAAGGTGAGAGTTAGCTTCAGGGAAGATGGTGGAGAAGAATGTTTGCTAGTATCTGGACCCCAAAGGATTACACAGGATGCTGGAGCCTGCATGGGCTAGGAATACCATTAGTTCAATCATGGTCTACACTTGGCAAGGAAGATGCATTGAGAATAGGTGAAGGGCATAGTCAAGACCAATGCTAACTGTCATTCCTTATGGAGGAATTATGGAATCTACTTCAGGCTGCCATGAAAAGCAAAGCAGAGAATCTGTTGGGACAACTCGTTCAGCAGCCTCAGACTACAGCTGCATCTTTACTTATCTAGGCCTCTAGATCACTCAGAAGTAAAGGAAAATTTAAACAAATCTAAACATTCTCATTCTTTCACTGGGGTCTTCAAAGTTTTGAACACAATCTCTCAGAAGAATCAATTTCTGATACCTGAATCTTTGTAAGCACGAACAGAGAGAAGGGACTGGACAGATGAAAAGGATTTGTAGTTCAAAGAAGAGGGCCATTGTGGGGAACTGATGCTGAGCTCTCGGTTCTATGCCCCCCAGACTTCCTTCTTCAGTTACGGTCCCTGCAGAATCAGCATCCATCTGCGACTCTCCTTTATTCATTGAACTCCTTGTTTTGGAGAGGAGAGGCATATTTTCTACTTTATGTAGCTCTCCAGCCCATGATCTCCTGTGGTCAGGGGCTAAGGATTCCTTTCCCTGTTTCCTAGTAATGCATAACTCTATCTCTCCATAAGGCAGGGTGGGCCAGGCATTCAGAAAGTTGGGGAAGCTAGGCAGAATGTGAAATAAGTGAAGGGAATTGAAGGGTGCTGGAAAACCTCCCATCAAAATTTCCTCCCCCATGTTATTCCACCATTAGGTAATTAGCTCCCTGGTTCTTAAAGGATTACATCACTTTTCTTTGTTAAGAGTTGAGTCATCTATGCAAAAAAAAAAAAACAAACAAAAAACCCAAAAACTGAGTGAATTAAAACCAGAATCCTTATTAGTTATTACCTCAGGAGCTTTAACAGTGTCCCACTTCAATTAGAGCAAAGCTCACTGGGAATGTGTGTAGGATAAAGAAGATGTTGGAGGTAATAGACATTAAGGAAGGGGCCAGGAGCGTGGAGGGAACCCAAGAGACGTGGGAGGATCTCAAAAGTGATCTTTGCCTATTGCCAACTGTGACTGAGGCCCTGGCCCATCATTTGATGTTCTCTGTCATTCTTGGGAGAGGCAGAGGAGTGTGATGATTAAGAGCATGGACTCTAAAGCTAGACTTCTGGGTTCATAAAGGGTAACAGCTTAGCTCTGCCCCTTCCTACCTTGGGGACTTTGAGCAAATAATTTAACCGCTCTGTGCTTTTTTCTTCATTTATAAAACAGGAGTAATATTGGTCCCTGCCTCAAAGGGTTGTTGTGAGGATTAAAGGAGTTAACACACATAAAATACTTAGAAGAGCACATGGCATAGAGTAAATGCTAGTTGTTATTAGTATGCTTTCAATTTCACAAAGGGACTTAAAAGGTCAGAACCCTTACTTACTCCTAGGAACCACTGGGGAAGGAGTGAGGACCAACATATATTGCATATGTATGCCCCAGATACTGTATATAAAATATCTCATTGAAACCTCACATATTGATGAAATAGGTATTACAATATCCCTATTTTGCAGGTGAGAAAACTGTGTCTCAGAGGGTGAGAATCTGGCCCAAGGTAATACAGCTAAAAAGTGGTAAAGTTATCTATGATATCCCACAATGTTACTTACACAGTTCTCTTTGGAAATAAAAATATAAACAAATGGTACAGGCAGATTAAGAACAACTCCAGCATTATTATTATTATTATTATTATTATTTTTTTTTGAGACAGGGTCTCACTCTGTTGCCCAGATTGGAGTGCAGTAGTGCGATCATGGCTCACTGTAGCCTTAGCCTCCCTGGGATCAGGTGACCCTCCCACTTTCAAGTAGCTAGGACTACAGGTGTGAGCTTTTGTTTTTTTTTTTTTTTTTTTTTAATAGAAACAGGGTTTCACCATATTGCCCAGGCTGGTCTTGAAGTCCTGGCCTCAAGTGATCCACCCACCTCGGCCTCTCAAAGAGCTGGGATTACAGGCTCCAGCATCAAATGTTTACAGTAGTTGTCCTCACAGAAAATGCATACATAACTCTTATCTTCCTGACTCAATGCTCACCTTCACCTCCCACCCTGACTGCAGCCTATTATCCCTGCAGTCAGTGGACTTTTAATCCAGATACCTTGGCTGAGCAGGCTCATAGAGGAAACTGGCCCACAGAAACTGTGAGAAATAAATGTATGTTGTTTGAAGCTGCTAAATTTGTGGTAATTTGTTATACAGCCATAAAAACGAAAAGACCAAACAGTCATATCCTGAATGATTAAAAATTGGTTGCATAAGTAAAAGAATGTATTTGAGTTGGAAGATTTGGGGTTTTCACATGAAAAACCAAGTGTGAGTAAAATAACCGCAGAATAGCTATTTTGGAATTCTGATACTCAAACACTTGCTAGTTGAAGGAGTGCTAAGATTATGGATATAACAATTGATTCTAGGGTTTCAAAACTTATTTCCCATAACATAGGAAAGCTGAAACTCTGGCTATAAAGAAAAGGCTATTTTTCTTTCTCTTGAAATAATTTGTACTATTCATTGCACTGTCAATAGCCAAGAACATGCTAGAAATTACAACGTGCTCGCACATATGGGTATTTCTGCTATGATGCAACATATATGTTTCTAAAATTCATTTTGTTTTGCAAAATCAACCAATAGAAAAACAAAGGACTTATAAGAAAAATAGGGTTGGGGCACAATAGTCACAAACTGTCAGTAACACAAAACAAAAAGATAAAATCTAATCAAATTGTGGTAGCACAGTCTTACACAAGTCAAATGGGTAAGAAATATGTAAATACTACAAAAATAAGACACTTTCCTTTGACAAAGACTTTACATTTGCTTGTGGAAGTGGGAGTCAGAGCATTGCAGCTTGTGAGTTTTTGTGAAATTGTGGAAGGAAGGTGATTTGAAATCAAGGGAAAGTTGTATCACTGATGTGGATGGATATGGCCCATGTTGAGGGTGGTGGACTGAGGTAGCTGACATGTTTCAGGTACGTGCATGTCTGTTTTGTACATCTTACCTGGCTGGGTTCAGGTGTGTGCAATTTTCTGTGTTTCCCTAGTGTTTTTCATAGACTAAACAGTGCATAAGCAACCCCAAATTCGTGTTATGCTCAAAATGTTCTCTAATAAAATCTTGTGTCTTGAAAACAAGTGTTAAAAAGTAAAACTGACCAGATGTTATTTCATTTGAATCTTACGATAAAAGCAATAAATAGACATGAGGAAACAGCTTTAGACATAGAGCTAGTAAACAGTCAAGGCAGATTGAACTGAGGTCTTCCTCCTCTGTGCTTTTCCCATTAGGCCACTCCAGGAATGTCTCAGTCTAGCATATTTTAAATCTGTGTGATGCTATAGTTTCACTACTGCAATTTCTAAGACTTTATATTTTCAATTAGACATTTATTTTACTACCAAGAAGTATCCTGATCCAGAGGTACTATTCTCCCAGCCATGGAGAGTTCCTCCAAAAGACAAAATTCTATCTTTGCTAATGAAAATGCAAATAAAACTGTATCAAGAGTTTCATGATTTTACTAGGTATTTCCCATCATATGTTTATCATACAGCTCAAAATTGATGTCAAGTTTTTTACTCTACTCTTTTCTCAAGTTCATTCACTATAAATTGAATTTCATTTTTCTGCACTTGGGTTGTATTTTTTGAACCACTGACTTTGCTTATATTAGTTTTACTATGATATTCATCAATTTGTTTAAAAAAATTCAGAAGATACCTCTTGCACAAATTCATTTTATAATTTAAGAACTCACTTCAGAATGTTGAGACTCTGTTAAGTATCAATTCTAGGATTATGAAGATCCTGTCTACCACAAAGAGCCCCACAAAGGTCTTTTCTCCCTCATTCCCAAGCAGTTTAACTTAATGAATTCTTCTGGTAGAACTTTGTTTAGACGGACTTAAAGCAGGTAAGAGTTCTTTTTAAAATACTTGTGGAGTGCATGAGTGTGCAAACAAACTTAAAAGCACATATTGGCTCAGGAAAGCTGAGGGGAAATGATAATTTTCAACAGTCCAAAATAGCCATCCTGGGGCTTACAGAAAGTAAGGTAGCAATTAGCCTAACTCTAAGCCTAACAATAACACAGTCATTAATCCTGGGTGCCCAGACACATTCCATTAGAGGATTTTGGCAACAAAATTTTGCTTTTCTAATTCTGAGTAGATATAAACAATAATCCCTTAATTTATTAGTCTGTTTATCACACTTATTAAGCATTTCCTATGTCTTAAGAACTGTGCCACAAGACAAGGATGCCCTCTCTTACCACTCCTATTCAACATAATATGGGAAGTAGACATAAACAATAATTCCTTAATTTATTAGTCTGTTTATCACATTTATTAAGCATTTCCTATGTCCTAAGAACTGTGCCACAAGACAAGGATGCCCTCTCTTACCACTCCTATTCAACATAATATTGGAAGTTCTGGACAGGGCAATCAGGCAAGAGGAAGAAATAAAGCGCATCCAAACAGGAAGAGAGGAAGTCAAACTACCTTTGTTTGCAGATGACATGACTGTATATCTAGAAAACCTCATAATCTCAGTCCAAAAGCTTCTTAAGCTGATAAACAACTTCAGCAAAGTCTCAGGATACGAAATCAATGTGCAAAAATCACTAGCATTCCTATACACCAACAACAGTCAAGCTGAGAGCCAAATCATGAACTCTCATTCACGACTGCCACAAAAAGAATAAAATACCTAGGAATACAGCTATGTAGGGTGGTGAAAGATGTCTATAAGGAGAACTACAGACTTACAAATCACTGCCCAAAGAAATCAGAGATGATACAAACAAAGGGAAAAACAATCCATGCTCATGGATAGGAAGAATCAATATTGTTAAAGTGGCCATACTGTCCAAAGCAATTTATAGACTCAATACTATTCCTATCAAACTACCATTGACACTCACAGAACTAGAAAAAAACTATTTTAAAATTCATATGGAGCCAAAAAAAGAAAAAAATCCAGAATAGCCAACACAATCTTAGGCAAAAAGAACAAAGCTGGAGGCACCATGCTACCCAATTTCAAACTATACTACAGGGCTACAGTAACCAAAACAGCATGGTAGTGACACAAAAACAGACACAGAGACCAATGGAACAGAACAGAGAATCCAGAAATAAGACTGCACACCTACAACTATCTGATCTTCGACAAACCTGACAAAAACAAACAATGGGGAAAGGATTCCCTATTCAATAAATGGTGCTGGGATAACTGGCTAGTCATATGTAGAATATTGAAACTGGATCCCTTCCTTACACGATATACAAAAACTAACTCAAGATGAATTAAATACTTAAATGTGAAATCAAAAACTACAAAAACCCTGGAAGACAACCTAGGCAATACCATTCAGGACATAGGCATGGGCAAAGATTTCATGATGAAGATGTCAAAAGCAATTGCAACAAAAGCAAAAATTGACAAATGGGGACAATTTAAGCTAAAGAGCTTATGCACAGCAAAAGAAACTATCAACAGAGTAAACAGATAATTTACATAATGGTAGAAAATTGTGCAAAGTATGCATCTGACAAACGTCTAATATCCAGCATCTATAAGGAACTTAAACAAATTTACAAGAAAAATACAAACAACTCCATAAAAAGTGGGCAAAGGACATGAACAGATACTTTTCAAAAGAAGACATATATGTGGCCAACAATCACATGAAAAAAGCTCAACATCACTGATCATTAAAGAAATTCAAATCAAAGCCACAATAAGATACCATCTTACACCAGTCTGACTCTTACTATAAAGTTAAAAAATAACAGATGCTGGTGAGGTTGTGGAGAAAAAGGAACACTTATACACCGTTGGTGTGAGTATAAACTAGTTCAGCCATTGTGGAAGACACTGTGGCCATTCCTCAAAGACCTAAAGACAGAAATACCACTCAACCCAGCAATCCCACTACTGGTTATATACCCAAAGGAATATAAATCATTCTATTATAAAGACACGTGCACGTTGCATGTGTATGTTCATTGCAGCACTATTCATAATAGCAAAGACATGGAATCAACCTAAATGCCCATGAATGACAGACTGGATAAAGAAAATGTGGTACATATACACCATGGAATATTATGCAGCCATATAAAAGAATGAGATCATGTCCTTTGCAGGGACATGGATGGAGCTGGAGGCCATTATCATTAGAAAACTAACACAGGAACGGAAAAGCAAATACCTCATGTTCTCATTTATAAGTGGGAACTGAACGATGAGAACACATGGACACAACACACACTGGGGCCTTTCGGAGGGCAGAGGATGGGAGGAGGGAGAAGATCATGAAAAATAACTTAATGGGTATTAGGCTTAATACTTGGGTGATGAAATAATCTGTATGATAACCCCCATGACAGAGGTTTACCTATGTAACAAACTCGCACTTGTACCCCTGAGTGTAAAATAAAATAAAATAAAAAGAACTGGGTGCCAGATGTTGAAGGAAAATAGTAAGATCTTAAGAAAATGGCTTTGGCCGGGAGCAGTGGCTCATGCCTGTAATCCCAGCACTTTGAGAGGCCGAGGTGGGCGGATCAGGAGGTCAGGCGATCTAGACCATCCTGGCTAACACGATGAAACACCGTCTCTATTAAAAATACAAAAAATTAGCCTGGCGTGGTGGCAGGCACCTGTAGTTCCAGCTACTCGGGAGGCTGAGGCAGGAGAATGGTGTGAACCTGGGAGGTAGAGCTTGCAGTGAGCTGAGATCACGCCACTGCACTCTAGCCTGGGTGACAGAGCAAGACTCCATCTCAAACCAAAAAACAAAAAACAAACAAAAAAACACAGCTTCAAGTTTGTAGATCTATGGTCATTCAGTCTATGACACTGAACACTTCCTTTAGTAGCTCACTTGTTGAATAACATCTAGAATTAAATAGGAGAAAAAATTTTCCTAATAGAACTATACCAGGCTTTACATGATTGGTAGTCTTCGTTCTTCACAAACCAGTTTATTTTAATAGATATCTCAGGTAGAGTTTTATGAAGGCCTCAAAGCAATTAAAACTTCATTTGCAGGAAGGACAATCTTATACTTACCAGAAAACTACAGCTAACATGAATTTCTTTGTTAGACATTTGCTATGAAGGATCTTTGAGAAAATTCTGTGTTAGAACCCATGACACCCCTAACATAGCTATGCCATTATTTTTTTCTTCTTAAATGAACAGATGAGTTTTGTAAGCAAAGTAGGATACCATGATTGATAGACCTTTTTGTAAAGTATACTCAGATTTGCTGAAAGAGCCTACATAATTCAGTCTGGGTGCAGTGGCTCATGCCTGTAATCCCAGCACTTTGGGAGACTGAGGTGGGTGGATCACTTGAGATCAGAAGTTCGAGACCAGCCTAGCCAGCATGGCGAAACCCTGCCTCTACTAAAAATACAAAAATTAACCAGGCGTGGTGGCACATGCCTGTAATTTCAGCTACTTGGGAGGCTGAGGTAGGAGACTTGCTTGAAGCCGGGAGGTGGAGGTTGCAGTGAGCCGAGATCATGCCACTGCACTCCAGCCTGGGTGACAGAGTGAGGCTTTCCCTCTCTCAAACAAACAAACAAACAAAAAAAACAAAAAAGAAGGAGATTACATAACTCAAGAAAACCATACTCGAAGCCTCTCTTTTTAAATAATTTTTATCTCAAATAAGGGAAAAATCAAAATGGAAAGAGGTTATGATCAGTTTCACCATTGGCCTACAGTATTGCTTCAGAGAACAAAATAAAAGGGTTCTTGCCTCTCCCCTTGCTGGAACTGGGCCTGCCCCAGGGACTTGGCTGTAGGGTTGCAGGTACTTTCCCTGTCCTTTGATCTTAATCACCAAGGGAGCAATTAAAGTTCCATGTCCAGGAATCACTTAGTAAAGAGTCTTGCTTTTAGTTAGAGAGTTGAAGGGGTTGTGGGCAATATCTAAATATGCTTTGGACATTGTATTTGATGGGGTTGAGAAATAAAAAAAAAATTCTAGGCTCCTAACTAACTGAATGGATTCCCCTCTTGGCCAAGGGTGAAACTGCCTTTGCAAAATTATTACACAAAGAGAAATCTAACATAGTTGACTCCATCTTGCTTCTGACTTCCAAGCTGTCCTTGGTCATTCCTGGGTGTAGGCCAAGCTCACTTTGGGAGGAATTTAGTTTATAGTTTTACCTTAAAACAAAGATGATAATAGCCCTTCTCAAAACTAAATCACCTTTGTAAAACTAATGGAAAGGCACAAGGTTAAAATTATGAGAGAGGCCCGAATTCTGATAGGATAGGCATAGTTTTTATCAGCCCTTACAGATCAGGAATCATGTGACCAGAGGTCACAAGATTTGTGACCTTCCCATTTACTCCTATAGTTAACATTGCTATGTTAGAACCCAAGATTGTATTTTGTGGGGGATGTTTTCCAGACTGATCCTACCTGAACTTGTGATTCATGACTCAATTGATCCTATGGCCTCACCCAGAGGTAGACTCAGCATACGAAGACTGTTTTCCATACCAGTATGATTCCATCCCTAACCAATCAGTGGCACCCATTCCCTAGCCCCCTGCCCACCAAATTGTCCACAAAAACCCTAAGCTCCAAGCCTTCAGGGAGACTGATTTGAATGATAACTCCAGTTCTCCCACGTGAGTTAGCTTTATATCAAATGAACTCTTTCTCCACTGCAATACTGTGGTCTCAGAGGATTGATCTGGTCTGTGCAGTGTACAGTGCTGGGTGATTACCAGAGAAACTCGGGAAGCTGAGTTCATGGCCTTGGCGGGATGGGAGGTTGAACTAGTCTCACTAGTATGTAATCACTTGTCTCACTGCTGTCCCCTCCCCACCTTTTTTAAAGGAAAATGTACAAATAGTAAACTTCCTGAGACCCTCTTTGGAAAAAACAGCCATAGATGCATCTGTGACTTATGTTTTTCCTGGACATGCCCTCAAGCTGGCTCGATAAACCTTGATGACTGAGATTTATGACTCAGTCACTCATTTTGATTGTCACAGTATAAAGGGCCTGCTATGGTCTGCATGTTTGTGTCTCTCCAAAATTCACATGTTGAAATCTAATCTCAAATGTGTGGGCATTCAGAGGTGGGGCATTTACAAAGTGATGAGGTCATGAGGGTGGAGCCCTTGTGAATGGAATTAATATCCTTCTAAAAGAGGCCCAAGGGAGCTTGTTTGCCCCTTCTGTCATGTGGGGACACATAGTAGGCACCATCTACAAGGAAGGGTCCTCCCCCAGACACGGAAACTACTGTTGGTGCCCTGACCTTATTAATTATGATTGAGACAATCAAATATGGTCTGGCTAAGAGAAGAATAGTCCATAACATTTTGATGCTGACTCCCTAAAGTCTATGTTTTGAAATATTGAATATTTAACATGAAGAGCAAATTACAATTAGGACGTCTTAGGTCCATACAAAGTAATATTCTATGGACTGCCTTTGGAATTACTAGGTTTGGTCTTGGGATCAGATTGAATGAACTCAGTATAGATTCTGTGTCACTTCTACTCATGAAACACATTTACTGATGGTTAATCTAAGAGTATCTTTAGGCTAGGTACAGTGCCTCACACCTGTAATCCCAGCACTTTGGGAGGCCAAGACAGGCAGAGCACCTGAGGTCAGGAGTTCAAACCAGCCTGGCCAACATGGTGAAACCCCATCTCTACTAAAAATACAGAAATTAGCTGGATGTAGTAGAGGGCACCTGTAATCCCAGCTACTCAGGAGGCTGAGGCAGGAGAATCATTTGAACCCGGGAGGCAGAGGTTGCAGTGAACTGAGATTGCGCCACTGCAGTCCAGCCTGGGTAACAGAGTGAGACTCCATCTCAAAACAAAAAAAGTATTTTTATATATGGCAACATGTTGCTATATAGTTATGAAATAAAGTGTTGACAAAACTTGACTGAATGTAATCATAGTGAAGCCAACGTTATGTGTCATATGTCACCTGTGCCTGTTTTGTCACAAGTGCTCTTTACAAACCACTTAGCATCTTCACTTTGAGGTTGTATGCTCTTATTTAATGCTCCATAGAGTTTTGAGATTGTTGTGAGTTTTCTATTCAACATTGGCTTCTCCAAAGATTTGATCATTTTTTAAAACAGCTGTAAACCTATTCAAAATTTATATAACATATATTTAAAATATAAGGACGCTTTCTGATTTCAAATGCATCTCATGCAGTTAATAAAATTGGTAATTGGTAATTTAGAGTCACAGATAACTCTAAGTAAGTCAATTAAAACTGTGTAAGAATTTGAAAAGAGGATACAGGGCATTGAGGGGATTGACATTTGGTGGCCAAGTCATTATAGCTATTGTTTGGAAGAATCTGATGATATTCAAATGATCAAAGCAAGTATTTTGAAGAAATAAATGATGTGAAATAACTGATAAAGAGATACTTTAAACTGACATTATCCTACACTTAAATATAATAAAAATACACAGTAATAAAGCAAAATAACAGATTTGTTGTTTGGCTACAACATCAAGTCATTCTCAACTACATATTTTGACAATAGTGACTCTAAATATTTTCTCAAACTAAGCTTTCCTAAATATTTTCCCAAACCAAGCTGTTTCTTTACGGACTTTATATGCATTAATTTTATATGAATGACTATTTTTCTAACATAAAAACAATCTTTACAAATATTTTGAGAATTCAGGAATAAAACTAAAGCATTCAAATGACCACTGCTCAGTTGTACTTGAGAGATTTTGCCCAAAATTATTTAAAAGTGTTGAACTGTAGAAGGCCTTAAAATAGAACTTGTAGAATTTCAATATTCAGAAAGTAAAGTTTGTTACTATGGGTCATACTGTTGTGAAAAAGCAGAAAAAGAATTCAGAATAATCAAATTGAAACTATTTTGCTGATATAATCAAATATGCCTGATGTTTGTTGTGGTTTTAAAGACTGTATTTTCTCTTTGGACATTTCTCCATCTTTCTTTTTTTTTTTGGTGTAAAATATACACAACATAAACTTTCCCTTTTTAACTACTTTTAAGTGCACAGTTCTGTGGCATTAAGTACATCTACACTGTTATGCAACCATCACCATCATCCATCTCTGGCACTTTTTCACTATTCCCAGTTGAAACTGTACCCATTAAACACCAACTTCCTATTTTTCCCTTCCTCAGCAGTCACCATTCTACTTTCTGTCTCTGTAGATTGACTACTCTAGGTACCTTGTACAAATGGAATCATATAATATTTGTCCTTTTGTGACTGGCCTATTTCTCTATTGTTTTACTAACATAAAAGTATTTTATCTGTTATTAATTTTATCTAGTCAGAAACTGGAAACACTGACAGAATCTTTGGCTGATTAATTACACTACAATTGACAAAATACTGCCCAAACATAAGTGATTTACTAAAATATGGGACATGATGTTTAAAATTAAAAACCTGATGAAACTGTAGTGTCAGTCTCAATTGCAGTTGTAATATTTTTCCTATAGCCAATGATTAAAATGTGCATTTGTTAGTGATTTTAAATTAATTTATATTAAATTTACTATTTTCCCATCTAAAGCAGAATTAATTGGTCATTTTTTTGGCACATGAATTAAAACATATATACACTGTCTTTGGTTTGCTAAAAGAATGAATGAATGATATAAAGGCATCTCATGTAGAAAGATTTGTTCTTGTTAATTAGCAGGTTTATTAGAATATGGTTTCTTTCATCTGAATTTTGGAGATTGGAAAAACAATCTCCAAAATATAAAGAATGCAGAGAAGTGCAGGAGAAGAGAGAATGGTAAGCTAAAAATTACCATCAAATGCTAAGTGTCAGACCTACACAAACACAAAATTTAACATACTTAACAGTGGCATGTTCAGTGAATATGAGCAGGAGACATGAGCTCAAATCTAATGATATCTATGATGCCAGAAACTTTGTATATGCTGAATTTAATCCTTATGACAACTCTCTGAGTCATATAATTTCCCCATTTTTGCAGATGTCAAAACTGAAGGTAAGAAACGGTAAGAAATTTGCCTAGTCTCAACACTAGTCAGTGTCAGAGCCAGAATTCCAATTCATGTCTACATTTCCAAAGCCCATGTTGTTCCCATGACACAAAATTGTAGCATGCCTTACACTTATTGACTTGGGAGAGTTTTTTTTCTTAAAAATATAGTATCAATATAATTTTAGCAAATCTTACTGCCATTAGAAATTGGTAACATTTATTTGAGGATAGACTTCAAAATCTTTATGAGACATAAGAAAATGAAGTTCCAGAATAACAGGAATTTGAATGGTAGTTTTCACCTTTCAGAGGATGGTTTTTTGGGGGTGGTAAGAAACATCTAAGTATTGGTTCTCATTTGGGGGCATGCTTAGAGGCATCAGTAGTTTCTGGTAAAGTAAGGGTCTTTCAAAAGAAAGACAAATGAATGATACTGTATAGGTGCAGTTACATCATAGGCACCACAATAAGGTATAAAAGTAAAGCATTATGACTTTCACCTTGGGAAAGAACTTTGAAATGAGGAAAACAAAATTGCCCAATAAAGGTGATATTTTATAACCAACCAGTGTGGACTAGTGGAGCATAAAGTTTCTTTAAAGACACAAAATAGCTGTAGCTTGGATTGCACATGTGGATACATCAAAATAAATATGTGTCAATCAAAAGTAATATATGAGAGTTTCTGCTTTGGCACATTCTAACTTGGTGTTATCAACCATTTACATTTTTCATAAGCTAAATAGTACGAAATAATCTCATACAGTGGTTTTAATTTACAGTTTTCTAATGACTAGTGATGTGGAGCATCTTTTTATATGTTTATTTATCATTTGAGTTTTCTCTTCTGTGAACTGACAGTGCATATGTTATGCAAATATCCAACCTTCAATGTCCAATTTTGAAGTCTTCTAATAGATGTGAAATTTGTGTATAGATTCTTTTGAACTCTACCTAGACAACATGGGAGAGACGGAGATGCTTACCAAACCCATTCTCTTCTTCCCAGGCACACAGTTACAGCGTGTTTCCCCATCTCTCAGTTGTTTTGCCATGTGACGGACTGAATTCTAGAAAATGTAATGTGGACAGAAATATTGCTATACCTATTCCATAAAACTTCCCACAACTGAACCTTCATTGTGTTTTACCATTTACCAGCTGGTTGGAGAGGATCAGGATCTAAAGGGGGTCACAGGTGAGACGAGTAATCATGTGAAAGGCTGCACAACAGAGAACTCCCACATTGGACTATAATTTGAATGGGAAATTAATCTATTGGGTTAAGCCACTGAAAATTTGAAGTTTATCTGCCATAGCAGCTAATATTGTCATTAACTAATATACACTATGTATCGTTGTGAATAATGACTATTTTGTTTCTTCCTTTACAATCTCTATACTGTTTATTTCCCAGGAGTTGACATTTTATTATGTTTTGTTTCTTTCTTTTCACTTCCCCGCCGTGTCACCTAGGAACTCTAGTTCAATGTTGAATAAAAAATTTTGAAAGTGGCCATCTGTGTTTTGTTACTGAATTTCGAGGGTATGTTGAAGTTTCTCTTTTAAGTGGGGTTTTCTTTTCTTTTTTTTAGAGTCAGGGGTCTCTCTCTGTTGTCCAGGCTGGAGTGCAGTGGTGTAGTTATAGTTCATTGCAGCCTCAAACTCCTGGGCTCAAGGGATCTTCCTGCCTCAGCCTCCTGAGTCACTGGGAGTACAGGCATAAGCCACCATTCCTTAAGTAGGTTTTTCATACATAAACTTAATTAGGCTAAGAAATTTTCCTTAAATTCCTAGTTTACTAAGAAAATTTTACTGTAAATCTGTATTGAATTTTGTCAGATGTTCATAGGCTTGTATTAACATAGTAATACATATTTTTTGGCCTTTAATCTGTTAATGTAATGAATTACATAACAGACTTTTCCAATGTTAAACTATCGTACATTCCTGGGATAAATCCCCTTCTGTTTTTACATATTATTGTTGTCTAATATTTTATATAATAGTTGGCCAATATACCAATGTTTGCTATACTGCTTTTATATCACTGTTATTGGTTATTTTTTTCATTCTTGATTTACATGGCCAATGTTCATTTGGTTTTACTTACATATTTACCAGTTTCTTTACTCACTACTGTCTCTTTCTTCTCACTTTTTCCTTTGAGTTCAGCTTTCTTATTTCTGAATTACAGTCTTCACAGTTCTTCAGCTAATAGCAAAGTTTTAAAGTCTTTTTCTGACAATGCCCTTTTTCATTCTTATTCTTGAATTTTAGATAGCTGGGTATAAATCCTTTGAAGACACTGAATTCTATTCTGAATTGTATTGTTGTTATTGAAAGGTTCTTCTTCTTCCTCCTCCTCCTGCTCTTCCTCCTCCTCCTGCTCTTCCTCCTTCTCTTAGGTAATATCTTTGTCTTTGTTTCTTCTTTAGATATTCTCTTTGTCTTTGATGTTCTGTGTTTCACCAAGGATGCACTGTGTAATGGCTCTAGTTGTGAGTTTCTTTTTATTTACCCTATTTAGGATTCTTGACTTTAATCAAATCAATTAAAGTGTACTTTTCTCCCATTCTTTTAATATTCTCTATGTGGAATTCTTATGAGACATAGATTAAACATTACTTCTATGTCTCTTTTTAACATATCTATATACCTCTCTGTGAATATGCACACACATACACACATATATAATATATATATTTGTATATGAATATTACATATATTTTGTGTATATATTATAGATAAAAGTATATATACATGTGTATTTATATGCATATTGCCTGTGTATATAAAATTAATCATATGTAAGTTTAATTTCTATATAAATTATATATAACTTTAATTTATAGTTAATTTAATTATATAAAGATTACATATATATATTTGTTGTGTTTTGTTTTTACTTGCAGTGCCGAGAATTGAGGTAATCATGTTGCTCAGTTCATGGCACACTATTGTTATCAGTGGGTGTACTATTTCTCCCTTGGTTGTTTGTTTAATCATTCCTCTTTATTCTCATTTCCCACTTATATTTTCCTTCTCCCATAGGAATCTAATGTATTTGTTAGAATAAGCAACAGCACAGTACCACAGTTGTATAAATTAAAATATATACCCACTAAAGAACATTATGTATTTTTAAAGTACCTATTTCTCACTTTCTATATTCAGCATTCTGTTTTAAAGATCTATATATGTTGCTGTATATTTATCTAGTTCACTGCTTCTAACTGCTGCATCTTAATATATAATGTGCTGTCATTGCATTTCCCTGATTCACTCTTCAGTGCTGGAAACTCAGGGAACTTCCAACTTCCTGCTGTGCAAACAATGATCAAATAAACATTCTTTTACATGGGTTTTATAGACCCTTTTGAGAATTTCTCTGGGATGTATTCCTAGGAATTAGATTGATTGGTCATTGGATAGACATATTTGAGCCTTATCCTCTTATATTTTGCATCTTTTGCTGAATTTGGGATAGTTTCATTAAATTGATCTTCCAGTTTGTATTTTATATGTTTTAAATTTTCTGTATATTATGATGTTTTGACATCTTAAAAAACCCTTTCTTGCTGTAAAGAGACCGCCCTTCCTGGCTCTAGCCAATTCTTAGAGATAGCAAAGGACTCAGTTAGGAGCGTACTTTAGATTTGCAAATTAACCAAGTTGTGTATCTTCTGTGTGGCCTGTACACCCCCAGGGAAAAATATGCTTGTGTCTTAATCATCCCAGGGCCATGTACCAGGCAATTAGGGACTATCTCTATAGTTTAGAGCCTGCAGTTATTATTCAAACTAACCAATTCTAAGAAGTTTATCCTGCCCTCCCTCACGCTTCCTGTCCCACGGAAGCTCCAATAAAATTCTAGTTTTGGTTTTCCTCTTACTTCTGTCTTCTGCCACCTGACCAAAACCTGGTGATTCCCCGGTAACTCTGTATGGCATGTGGTACCCCCCTCTCTAGAACCTGTGAAAGTAATAATAAACTTTGTTTTCTTGTGGCTTTCCTGTGTCCCCTGTGCTGCACCTGATTAACCATCACCTAAAAGAACTCAGAATACGATTCATACATTTTCTCTTCATCTGCCTCTAATATGATATTTTTAAAATGTAAATGATTAGAAGCTCTATTTGAGGATAATAGATTGAGAAAATGATTGAGCAGAAAAAGTAAATCAAATGAGAATACTAAGACCCTTCAAAAAAGATATGGCAGAAATTCTTCATGTGTTTTACAATTTTAGAATGTAAACTCATAATTTGTTTTGAGTTCATTTGAAAGAATCACATTTGTACCAGTCATGAGTTGATCAGAAAAACGGATCGTCATGAATGAAATAGAATAGTGGATTTAATTAGACCTTGTACAATTGGGGAACTGGTTAAGAAGTCCATGTCAGGCTGTTGCTTTTTCATGTGGTATTTACTGGACCTGGGGTCACTGTAGATAAGCTGGAAGGCAATCAGGAATGAGAGTTGGATTTGAAATAGGAAAGGGCAAGGACAAACTGGAACCCACAAGGTCAGACGGGAACCCCAGAAGACAAAATGGAGCCCACCAGGACAAACTGGAATTTGACTCTGTCTCTCATGATCTCTAACTTCAATAATGTTAGTGACCTGCAGAGAAGTTTGAACCCTTCATCCTGAAGTTGCACATACACTTGGCCCAGGACTGAAGGAAGTCAAAGAAGGAAATCCACTGGAAGCTGGAGAACTGTGGGTCTAGGTGCTTCTCAGTGTCAATAAGGTGGGTTAATAGATTAGTGACAACATGTGCAAATTGCCAATGCCTGGTGTCATATATTGAGTTTCAGAGTATAAAATGGTGGCTTCTTCATTTGTGCCCTTCAGTTCCCAGACCAATGTGCTTTATGGCCTACTCCAAATTGAGAAACACACAAAGAAATAAATTCTGAGAATGTAATTCCAGTTTAGCTAGGTTGACATAGTATAAAACCATATTACACTAGTTTAGTTGAAGGTATGTATCTACGGATATATTTTGTGTTTATTTCTTTTACCACCCTTGAAGTATCTCCAGCTTTGGATTAATTTTAATGTAAATTTTTCATTTTGGAGCTTTCTAGACCAATAGCCAAACTTAAAATGAGTTACTTGACAGTGGTTCTGGGTTCTCAAGGAAGAGTCTCTATTTCGCCATTCTGAACAGAGGCTGAGAAGACAACTTACCCAGTTATTTCCCTATACCTATGGGCATATTAGTTCACACTTACGCTGTTATTTAGAGTGGAGTTTCTCTAGGTTCTAGACTCTGGTGGTCTCTGTTCCAACTCCCTATAGGAGTAGGGACAGACGACCTTATCTCCTGCCTCACAGTGGATATTAAGACATCAGCCTCTAGATTACCTAAGACAGCCCTTCCCCAGAGTAGACAAAGAGTCAGATCTGGGCTTTACTGCTGTGAGTTTCAGTTCTCTATTATTCTCTGTCCCCTGAAGAGCTATTTATTTTCCTTCTAGTTCAGAAATGCATTAAAAATTAAAAAAAAAAAATCTAGATTTTTCAGATGTTTTTAGTTGACATTTTCAGGCTAACTACTCTGCCATGTTACCTGAACAGGGAGTCCATTGCATTTGCAACCAAGAACTTAAATGCAGAGACCTCTTTTACAAGGATAGGGTGCTTTAGCAAATTCAGATTTACAGGAAAGAAAATTACAAATATACAAAACAGATCAATTAGAGGGATGAATTTGCATAACAAAAGGACTCGCCATAGGACTAGTTAAAATAGCTAGGATCTAACAGTGAATTTAGAGCATCTAGGAAAATGTGCATTGTATAAATCTATCAGGCCTGTAGTTAAAGAAATGCGGGGATGAATCCTTTTGTAAAGCAGAAAGTCCTTTTTGTAATGTGAATGAGTACTCTCTAATTTACAAGTCTGTAAGTTTGAGAAGTTTGAGTCTTTGTGTATCTGGCTTCTCAAATAATAGAGATCCAGAATAAGTTATTTATACAGAGAGTTCAGGTTTAACTCTCCTGAGTATGATTTTTCTATGTTAATATAAAATAATCAAAACAATCTGCATATTTAAAGAATGGAATCATGAGGTCCTTCAGACGTTTAATATGTGCATTTCTACATAATTTCCCATGGGTCTTGTTACTGGAAATATGTTGAAGACAAATGTTTCCACAAAATGACCGATTTCTTTTGATAGATCTATTTAAGCACACAGTAAAAAACATCTTGACCAGAAACATAATTGCTAATTCACTGTGTTGGACATTAGCTATTGAGTTATTAACCAGTTATCTGAGGGCCTACCATGTGCTGATCAGAGAGTCAGAGTTCCTTAGATATCAGGTACCCAAACTCTTCATTTTCCAGATGAAGAAACTAGTGATGTCAAATGACTTGATAAACAGTTTCATGGCTACTCAGAGGACTGCATGAAACTTCCAGCATATTATACTGCTTTCTTTAATAGAGTGAAAGAGTCCACTAAATTAAAGAGGTTGTCAACTCCATGGATGAGAAATTTATGTTAAGGAACCATGACTCACCCCGAAGGGTGCCAGACTGAGTCTGTGGCCCAGTGCAAAGGGCACAGAGACATGCCATCAGACAGGCTTGTGCCTGCATGTCTTGCATTGACGTTGGGCAATTTATTAACTTCTCTGAACTGCAGTTTCCCCATATGCAAAGCAGAAAATTAATACTCATCCTGCCATCCTGAAAATGTATTGTTAGAAAAGAACATTATTATATGGGAGATATACTTTACTGTATAAACTCCAAGGTACTTTAAAAATGTCATTTGTTATGATTATTGCCATAGCTACTCTAGAGAATGCATATATCAAAAGATCTATGAACTTTCACAAATATTTTTGCAGAATAATCAAGGAACAAGTTGTTAACCTTTTTCTCAGAAGCAATAAACAAGAAAAATCTAGACTAGATGTTTATACAAAAAGTTATTTACAATTCAGAGCTGTGTCCAATGTCATTTGTTATCATTATTCTTATATGAGTGAATTAAATATTTTTTAAAAAATTAATACATGGAAAGCAATCAGAAGAATGATTTGCACACAACAAAATGTATATGAACATTGGTTATTGTTAATTATATCCTCATACTTTTCTATTCCTCCTGCAATTGTGCAAGCCAAACTCTCTCAACTCTGAATTTTATTTTCTATTGTTTGAAATGACAAAGATCATGGGTAGCTGATAATTCAAGCATTGTTTTTGCTCAATGGGAAGACTAAGATGTTGCTTTAGGGAGTAAAAGTATGGGGAGACATTGTAACAACAGCTATAGCGTCAAAGGACAGTGTGTTTTTAAATGTATGTATACATTATACATTTATTCCCACTTAGCTTCTGTTATAAAAGTCCTGAGACATCTTCTGGGCTTTGATCTGTTTATGGATCCAGATGGCAGAGAGGTGATGAGACCACAGGTTAGAGAGAAAATTTAGTCACAAGATTGGAAATTATAAGCCTTTTACTGCTTAATTATTCCCTTCCTGAATTTCAGGATATGGTCACCTATGAAGGTTATTTTACTTCAATCAATCCTTGGATGAAGAAGACAATAACCATAGCTGTACAAAAGAATAATGAGATTTAAGTATTGCACCGATTTTTACCTACATTCTCTAATTGCTCATTACCTAAGGCAGCTCAGAAATGACGAACTGGCTCCTTTTTCATGGTCAGGACAGCTGCTTTTATATGTTACATACTTGTTTAATATGAACTTCAATGGTTTTTAGAAGAAGGAATAATTAGAACAGGTACAGCCAGGGGATTTTTATAACTCCTTTAATGAATACTAAATAGTATTTTATCTTTAAAAGGGACCATGGCTGCCCTTAACTGCAACCAAGTTCATTAATAAAAAGTTTTCATGCAGCAGACACAAAACAATATAAAGAAACCAGAGAAAAATCTAAACTGAGAGCTGTAGTTACTATCTGTGCTAAGTGAATCAAGCCTACTTGCAAAGATGCATAATTATTTTTTAATAAAAAAGAAATAAAAGATTTTGCTGGCTTAACCAACGATAGGTAATGATACTAAAAATGACATGAGAGTAGGATGCTGTATACTGATTCCAGCTGCTTCTCTTTCGAGTTGGGATTATCTGAATTGGAAAAGAAAATCCCCATTTCCCCAGCAAGGTACAGATTTTACAAAACAGAGATCCATCCTTGACATGGTAAATATCTAATGAAACCACCTCTTCTTTCCATTTTTTTCCCACCCTGAGCCACATGCTGTATATTAAATAAAGGACTCAACTTTGTTCGTACTGGAGAAGTTGTCTGGGCTGCTGCAGGATGGAGGTTTACCTGAGGTTACCTGTATGAAGGGTGAATTGCTCACGCTTTAGAGCACTGTTATCTTTCTCCCCATGTACTCCTTCAACAGCACAATCTACAGTGAAGTACTTGTCAGGGTAAGCGGTGAGGAAAGTGAGAGCAGGTTGATCAATAAAACATAGACTGGAGGAAGCCTCTTCCACAGGAAACTAACAATGCATAAGAAGCATATTCTTAACAATGTTTGGCAGGAAACTCAGCAGCATGAAATGTACTTAATGTTTAACAGAAGTTCTGGAAGAAGGCAGCTTTACACGTGACGTAAAGAAGATTGACTGAAGGCATGCTGGGGTCTCTATGGAAAGAGATTTGGATGTGAATAGACCTGGGCTTGAGCCCTGGCTCCACCATGTTCTCAATGTGGGAATGTGTGTGAGTTCCTGCTCCTCCCCTTCCTCTGCTGTAAAATGGGAATGGTAACACCTGCCTTACCAGACTATAAGCAAACAGTGATCTGAGATGTGTGAAAGCTTTGTCAACTCTAAAGCACTATTAAAATGCTTCAGGAAAGTAGAGGGAATTTATCCTGGTCACCTGCCTTGGGAACAGTCACGAAACCATAATGTGTTCCCAGTCCTGACACTGGCTTCCCTCTGGCTCAAAAACTGGGTCTTGCAATGACTGGCTTTCTTCTGATTTTCAAGGTTGAGTGACTGGCAGTCTGCCTGGGCACACGTCAAAGAGCACCACCACATCAACTGCATGGCTGCAGTCCCTGTGCAGGCAGCTTCCTTTGCTCCCCAGCAAGTGCAGGGGCTGGCAGAGGCTGCTTCAGCCTTGTATTGTAGGGGGAAATAGGTGCCACATGCTGTTATGACCATGGTGATGGTGGGGGCGACTGGTGCTTCTACATACCCTGGTTCTAAGCTCCTTTTCTGGATCTTTGTAGTTACACATGGGAGTCAACAGCCCACTGCCTTCCCTTTATCCTCTATCTACCCCATTGCCTTCTTCCAGCTTCCCCCCAACCCCCACCCCCGTCTAATGAAAAAGAAGTTAAATTCCTATCTTAGCATCAAATCCAGCTGTAGTTTTTTCTCCCAACTAAGCACATGCAGTACGGTACCTCCTCCTGTACCATATACCTCCTCCAGTAAGATACTCCTGATCTCTTTCTCCTCCTCTAGGCTCACTTTAAGGTCCTTGTTGTATGTGACCCTATGTATACCCTGAATGTGGTTCTTATTGAACTGTACTATAACTGTTAACTTGCTTTCAATTAGAATGCGAACTCTTCAAAGGAAATTCTTACTCACCAGTTGTCTCTCCATCATCTAGCATAGTGCTTGGCATACAGTAAGTAGATGTAAATGATTATCGAACTGAATTGATCAGACCCTACCACTCCCATTGATTTAAAATTATACATATGCAAAGAAGGGTCATTTTGAGACCACAGTGCAATCAAGATGAACATGTCTCTAACTTCTGACTTCTCTCTTTCTGAATCCGTCTACCCTAGCTCACCCATCTGTCTCTGCAAGAAGGGCCAAGAAGAGCACAGACTCAGTCAAACAAAGATGGAACAAAATTGGTCACAACTTGAACTATTCCTTCTTTATTTTCCATTTCTGTTTTGACCCTTTAAAAGGAATTTCAAAATTTTACTTTCTTCTGGTGCTACTAACGTAAAATGCCTAATAATCTCTACATGGATACACGATTTGAATAATTATACACTTGATGGGGTTATAAGGAAAGTTTGGAAATCATCTTACACCTTCTAGACATATTCCAAGTCAAATTGATTAAAGAAATTAGTTCTTTCTCCTTAGTTCTAAATCATATGCCAGGAATTCCAGGTTTGTGGATTTGTCATTTAATTGCATATTATTGATAAATAGTATTAAAGACCTTTCCTGAGGACTCACTGTTCTGAGTGGTTTCTATAGCTCTGTGACAGATGTTACCAGTTGGCCAGTAAAATCCATTCCAATTTCCTCTCTCTTGCTTGTTTTCTCCTGCAGAGCCTGGAAAAAGCTAAGACACACTTTCCCAGTCTCCTGCAAGTTGGACGGTGGCTGTGTGACATGGTCTGGCCAATGAGGTGTAAACCTGAGTCTGCTGGAAAGATACTGGAAGAACTTTTGATATCCTGATAAAAGGAACACACATCTCTATCATTGCTCCCTTTCCCCTTCCTCCATCTGGGAATGCAGATGTGATGACAGAAGCTGCCATAGCCACTCTGCAGTCATGAGGCAAAAAACACAAAAGCATGAGGACAAAGTGCCATCATGCTAAGGAGAGCACAGCAAAAAGACAGAAAGGCTCTGGTCCTAAATGGCACAGCTAACAAGTGCCCATTTCCATGCCTCTTGCCAACCAACACAATTCATGTCCTTATGATTTCAATCCCTGGTGGTCAGGTTTTGGTCACTTGAAGCTAAAAGCATTCCTAACTGATTCAAACCCCAAATAAAAACATTGCCCTAATGATGAAACAGAAATTGGTTACTTTGGCCTCAATTAAAAAATGAAATGTAGCTAATCTTTAACAAATTCAATCCTAAATAGTTCTCTTTATGCCTACTGTCAGGCAGGCCCTTCTTCTGTGGCTGGATCTGATTTCCTAAAGCCTTAATTTCTAACTCAACATAGCAAAGAGGTGGAGGGAAGCCATCGTGCCCAAACCCTCATGGGGGTCATGACTTACAGTTGACTGAGGATGGCCTCCATTTATCACATAGTCTATTGCAACTTGAGGTTCCTTTAACAAATACTAGGTTATAACATTTAAAGCTGATATCACAGCTTCTGTTACAAGAATATTATTGTACTAGTTTCCTAAGGTTGTTGTATAAATTACCATAAACTGGGTGGCTTGAAACAGAAATTTATTCTCTTATAGTTCTGGGGGCCAGAATTCTGAAATCAGTGTGTCAGCAGGGCATTCTCCCTCTGAAGGCTCAAGGGGAGAATCCTTCCTTGCTTCTTTGAGCTTCTGGTGGCTCCAGGTGTTCCTTGGCTTGTGGCAGCATCACGCCAATCTTCGTCTTGTCTTTACATGGCCTTCTCTGCTTCCTCTTCTCTTTTGTCTGTCTTCTTTTCTTATAAAAACACTTGTTTGACTTAGGGCCTATCCTGTTAATCCAAGATGATCTGATCTTGGATCCTAAATGAATTAGATTTATAAACACTCCTTTTCCAAATAAGGTCACATTCACAGGTTCTACGTGGACATATCTTTTGGAATGCCACCATTCAATCTACTACAACTCTAGAAAATTTATTCCACTTTCCTTATTTATTTTTGTTGGGTCTCATGAACTTTGATTTTTTTAAGCTGTGTGAGGAAACATTTATGGCAATTTAAGTTTTGTGTTGCATCAGAATTTAAGGTTGTTTCAGGAAACACGTGTTTTATTTCACATTTTAAAGTAAAGAATTATTTCTCTGATTACATTTTAGTCTTTATTTCTCATGTTAAAGTAAAAAATAGGTGACTTCAGATCAGTAAGTATATCATGGTAGTGATATTAAAGAGTATTTACTAGGCTTAGTATAACTCAGGCAAAACATTTCTTGCAAATTATTCACCATAATCTTTGACATAGGCTGGATTATTAGTTTTAAGGCATGAATTACTTTCTACCCAGGTCAATGGTTTTTAACCCTGTTACACATTATAGTCACCTGGTGAACCTTTAAAAATGCATGCCCAGGACCCATTTCAACCAATGAATGCAAATATGTGGGGATGAGCTTGTGCATAAAAGTCTCCTAAGTTATTCTTATGTATAGTGAGGATTAAAAACTGACCTTGACTCTTATTAGCAGTTGCCTTATTCAACACCATTTATTTATTCAATCAAGTAATCATTATGCACTTTTAAGTGTGTAAGTAGTTGCAGTACATATAAGGACATATAAGAAATGCAGGTTTATAATTTAGTAGTCATGGTGTATAATATTTTGTGTAATGTGCCATTTATACTCCAGGGTGGTAGAGCCAAATGCTTATAGAGACCTTCTCTGCTGGTCACTCTTAAAAATTCAAATCAATTTATAGAAGTAACTTGTATCACAAAAAATTAGCCAGGCATGGTGAAGCATGCCTGTAATCCCAGCTACTCAGGAGGCTGAGGCAGGAGAATCACTTGAACCCAGGAGGCAGAGGTTGCAGTGAGCCAAGATCGCACCACTGCACTCCAGCCTGGGTGACAGAGTGAGACTCCATCTCAAAAAAAAAAAAAGTAACTTGTATCATTATTGCTTTAACTCCTCTGCACTCAGGTGCGTGTGTGAACACACACACACATTGCTGGTAATAATCAGAGCAAAATAAGACTCCTATGGTTGACTATCTTCAGATTACACCCTTTACAAGGTCAGGAGCCTTTTAATTATTTTAGATCCCCCTTCCGCAGAGTAGAAACCAATATATGCTTGTAAAAACTCACGACTGGTAGTGATCCCTATTAGTAGAAAAAGCTTGAGCAGTAAAGTTGCCTGTGCCCTGGAGAAGTGCTGAGGACTAGAAATTCCTCTAGCTTCCAGCTATTTGGGAAGACCCTTGGGTGTTGAGCCAACATTGGCAGGTGCGAAAGGGAATGACACTGGGGCTGAGGAGAGGATCTGGCAGCCAATTAGCAGCGCTTGTTAGAGCTCACCCCAGACTGCTGTGTGACTGCTCATTCAGACATTCATAGACACCCCTGTCACAAATAAGCCACCCAGAGCTCTGTAGTCGTACAAAGCAGCAATAGGAGTGGAGAAGAACCATGTTTGTCAGGAAGGCCCTGCATGCAAGAGAGCGGCAGGGCAGAGAGCAGAGTAGAGCTTGGAGGCTATAGTTGTAATAAGCTTTCAGGAAAAGAGAACTGAGCACCTTAATTATTTTATTTTTTTTTTTGACATGGTCTTGGTCTGTCACCCAGGCTGGAGTGCAATGGCACAATCACTGCTCATTTGCAGCCTGATCTCCTGGGCTTAAGCAATCCTTCCACCTCAGCCTCCTGAGTAGCTGGGACCATAGGCGTGTGCAACCATGCTCAGCTAGTTTTTGCATTTTTTGTAGAGACGGGGTTTCGCCATGTTGCCCAGGCTGGTCTCAAACTCATGGACTCAAGCAATCCACCTGCCTTGGCCTCCCAAAGTGCTGGGATTACAGGCATGAGCCACTGCACCTGACAAGCAATTTAATCCGAGGAGTCATGGAGTCTTATACATGTGAAGTCTTGTTGATGAAAGATAGGAAGATGGAGAGGAGCTGGAGGAGAACATGATATTAAGCCAAGTATTTAAAAACTACTGATGAGCTAGGAATCAAGCTGAGTGCATTCATTCATATGTTAATCAAATACTTTTTGAACATCTTCTATGTGTTTCAGGTGTTGACAGTGCAGAGGTGAGCACGTGTTCTCCAGGGTGAAGGACACTGGAGGAGATTTAGGGTTATAAAAACAAACAGATAACAAATGCACATATATTCAGAGTAACATGATAGAAATAGATGGTCAGGAGATACCACCTCAGTTTGGGCGATGAGGAAGGCCTTGACCCAAGGAGGTGACATGATGTGAGCTGAGATGATGTGGAAGGTGTTGGGGCTTAGAAAACAACACCCCAAAATGAAGGCCTCAGAAGCAGCCTCAGAAGCAAAAGTTTTTCTCTGACCTTCTCCTGCCCTCCTGTTTCTCAGTCCCATTCTCTCCTGAGGCTAGCTATAGAAACTAGGATCCCTCTTCCCCAGGGTGGGTCATAGAAACCAGACCCCTTCTTCCCCAAAGCCAGCCATAAAATCTAAAAATATTACTCTAACTTTCCCTCCACCTTTCTATGTGAAAACTGGCCACAGAGAAATTATCTGACTTACCTTGTTTGACTGTAGGTCGTAATACCCCCATTCCAGAGAGGGTCTTGCCCAACACAGAGAAGGAAGGAATGCATGCTCAGGGGGGCCAAGAAGAATCTAGACAGACAGGCCTTCCTGGCTTTCTTCACTCAGTCTATTAGCATTAGATCAGACCCTTTTTTTGGTCCAATAATATTTCGGCACAGCTGTCCATACTTTGTTGAAACGAAGTGTAAAAATGGACAATCTCCCCAGTATTTTTGGGTCTTCATCCTGAAGGCTCCCATGTTTACATGCTAAATAAATTTGTATGCCTTTTCTCTTAGTAATCTGCTTGAATGTGAATTGATTTTTCAGCAAACCTTTAGAGGGCCAAGGGCAACTTTCTTCTTGGCCCCAACAAAGGAGAAGGACGGAGATGCATGTAAAGCGGTCCAGGCAGAGGGAAGAGCAACTGTAATGGCCCTGAGGCAGGAATATACTTGGAGTTTGCAAAGAATCAGATGATATCCAGGCTAGAATCAGAGTAAGGGCATGTCTGGAAAAAGTGGAAAAGGCAGCAGGGGTTAATGATAAGCACGTGGCCATGGCTGGGCTTCGGGAAGGGTGAGGCTTCAGGTCTTTGTGGTTTGGTCTGAAAGCGACTGAGGTTCCACTGGGTGAGCTGCTCAGGGCACATCCTGATGCAGACAGCCTGTTGGCTCTGACAGCAGCTCTCCCATCCTCCCAGCTGCAATGACTGCCGAGTTGGCTTTGCTTTGAGTATTCCAATCACACAGGGCCTGCACCTCTCTGCATTCCCTGGGGGTGATTTTGATAGTTTCTCTGTGTGCACAGTGATTTTGAGGCAGGAGATACATGAGCGACTGCAGCAGCATAAGAAGTCAGTGGTGTCAATGCCTGACAACTACCATGACTGAAAAAGTTAGATTCCTGAAGTGACTTCATTTATATTGCCATATCCTGACAGAATCTGAGGCCACTCTTGGTATATGAACACAGTATCATCTTATATATATGGAAATAAAAAAGAATGGGAGGTTTTTTTTTTTCTTAAGCAAAAGGAAAATATTAACTCAAGACCCAAACTGTTTTATTCATTTGTGGACTCCCACAATACCTTCCTTACACAGTTATTTCACTGATTCTAGAACACACACTTTTCCTCATTTACCATCTGTGAAATGATAATGCATCTTACAATCCACAGTGCCTCACAATTGCCATCACATGGTTGTCATAGCCCATACCCACATGCTTGGTCATAGCTGTTCATGTGTTGAGTATAATTGGCATTTAAACTGTGTTCAAAATGATTACATTATAATTTGGCATCAGTACTTGGAAAGATACAAATACAGTAGGGAGAGGATAATTTGATATTTGTGAAGCAAATAACTTCACTGGAGAAGAGACTGCAATGACATATTTCCTTTAAAAGCAGTAACCATGTGCATTGTGGGTCTGAAGGAAGGAAGATATCCACAAATGCATGAGGCCTTATTATGCTTTGTTACTGCAATATATGAAAAAGATTACATGTTACATGCCAAGGAACTCAACAAAGGCAGGAGTAATTGACAAAGCCCTCTATATGAAGGAAATGTTCAATCTGTGTGAGGCTGTGATGGGTTTATGTGTTGGACAGAATCACCATAAGGCTCTGTGTCACAGATTAATTGGCAGCACTTGTTTTTCTTTTGTAGGAATGCATAACATAATGATGCATCTTATAATAGATGGTATTTCTAGGTTCCATGAAATAGAGTGGAACAAAGTAGATGTTTTTGTCGTTAGACTAGGGCTATGCAAATACTAGACCTCACTTATCCCATCACGTTCAAAATGTCTCTGCAGTTTATTTACATATTACCAAAGAGCTGTCCACTTGAAAACTTATAGTCAGCATTGTGTCTCAAGCCAAGGTAAACCAAACTAAACATTCTTATGGCAACATGGCCAGGCGCTGTGGCTCACGTCTGTAATCCCAGCACTTTGGGAGGCCGTGGTGGGCAGATCACGAGGTCAGGAGTTCGAGACCAGCCTGGCCAAAATAGTGAAACCCCATCTTGACTAAAAATACAGAAAACTAGCTGGGTGTGGTGGCGGGTCCCTGTAATCCTAGCTACTCGGGAGGCTGAGGCTTGAACCTGGGAGGCAGAGGTTGCAGTGAGCCGAGATAGCGCTGCTGCACACCAGCTGGGGCGACAGAGCTCTGTCTCAAAAAAAAAAAAAATTCTTACAGAAACTTGATACTCTTGGTTGGTGAACTGAATTTTATCAAAAGCATCTATGGCACACAGGCAGATGATTGTAGAATACATGGCCTTAATGAAAAATAAGCTAACTGCTTAGGCGATTATTTCAAATTCAGTTTAAGGAAGTCACTGTGTTTTAGCGTCTGATTTTGAACATCAGGACTAAAGACCCTGAGGCTTTTTTCCTTTAAGGTACTATCAGGTCAGTGTGAAAAAGCTGTTTGCCAGGGGAGCCAGTTGGAAATGAATGAAATAATTTACATTCCTGCTGTGGGCAAGTTGTCAATCATTATGTGTGAAGCCTGTACCATCATTTTTCTCCTATATCTACACAAGGATGCTGTCTTAAGGATGTAGTCAAGTGCCGTGACAAATAGCAGGTCAATAGCTGAGGACACGTTGCCTGGTGTGTGGTGGTAGAGAAAGGGCACACCTCTATTCCCCAAACTCCAGGCCGGCTGCTTGATGTAATAGCAGGTTGTAAAGTGAAAAAGCTTCTGCATGAAAGGATAGCCTTTACATGGGGTACAGAGCGCAGAAACGTTTTTTGGCCACACATTGGTTTTTCTCAGCCATGGATCATAATGATTATCAGTAGAATCATTTGTTTTAAATGCAGAGAAGAGCTGAAATGCTTCTATGTATCATTGCTTCTGGAGATTTCTAGAAATGTGTGCTAGGTAGTTCAATTTACCATGTCCAAATGGAACTCTTGATTTCTCCCTCCAAATTTTCCCTAACAAATATTCCCAATCTCAAGAAACCTCAGGCCAAAAACATTTCCACCGATCCTTAATTCCTTTGATTTATCTACAATCAATATCACATTCATCATCTCTATTTTCCTTGTAAATCCTGACTCAGATATTCTCACCTTCTTCACCACACCACTTTAGTACAAGGCACCACCATCTCTTGCCCCGACTACTAGGTGAATGCCTCAGTAGGTTTTCAATGACCTCCATCCCCATTCCCACAGCAGCCAAAGTGAGCCTTTCAAGCATAAACCAAACCATATCTCTCTCCTGTTTAACACCCCTCTGATGCTCATGCTCACATTTAGATTACTATGCAACCCCTCTCCACAGCTCACAATACCTGATCCTGGGCCACCACTGTGACATCTTTTCTATCAGCCTTTTCCCTGGCTCATGCTACTACAGCCACACTGGCTTCCTTGCTGGTCCTCAAACAGGCACGGTCCTGCCGCAGGGGATCTGCACTTGCCGCTCCCTCAGCCTGGAGTGCTGATCTCTGCATGGCTTCTTCCCACACTTGGTTCAGATCTCTGCCTAAATGAAACCTCCTTAAAGAAGTCTTTCCTGATCACCCTCCTGAAGATCTGGTCACTGTCTATCCTCTTACCCTGCTCTATGTTTCCTTATAGTATGTGCCACTAGCTGATATCATATTACAGACTTATCTGTTACCTGCTTATTGTCTTTGTCCAGCTCTAGAATGTAAGTTCCATAAGAGCAGGAGCTCTGTTGGTTTTGTTTCCAATGCATTTCTAGAGACTAGAACAGTGCTTGGCATATAGTAGGTGTTCAGTAAATATTTTCATTCAATATAAATACTACATATACTTCTTCATATGTCGTCTTCCCAGTTGGACACTTTCTAGGCATACTGGGCCCTCACAAAGATATATAGAGTGTGGACTACCTTTCAACTGAAGCATTTTACCGGACATGCCAACTGATGGCAGCACCCAGGGATGGCAATGAGATGGTGTGTGCATCACCCAAGTGGCCCTCCACAGTCAAGTAGGTCGCTGAAGTCTGTCTCTGATGACTTTGCCTCCCACGTCTTCCTCTGTGTCTTTCTTTCCCATTCCTCCCCTGGCAGCAATTCATTCAGTGGGTATTTTTAAGCACCTGCTTTGTAAAGGGCATTGTGTGAACATACAGCTGAGCCCTCCGAAGTCAGGTCTTCAAGGAGTTTGGTGTCTGGTGGAGAGGCGCGATGAACCCACACAAATACAAGGGCTGGTAAAAGGTGAAGTGTCTTGCCCCAGTGGAATAAGGAACTAGAAACTGAAATTGGCTCATCTGACTCTGAGTCCAGCCTCTCATCCACTCTGCTGCCTTGCAGCCCACCCAAGCCTGCCTTCCCTCTGGCGCTCCTCTGCAGTTTGTTTGTTTGTTTGTTTGTTTATTTATTTATTATTATACTTTAAGTTTTAGGGTATATGTGCACAATGCGCAGGTTAGTTACATATGTATACATGTGCCATGCTGGTGCGCTGCACCCACTAACTCGTCCTCTGCAGTTTTAATCTTTGTTCTAAATCCTCCTTTTCCCCTTCTCTATATTCAAAGCACCAAATCCTGCCCTTCTAGGTGAAGTTATACATCAGCTGATGATCAGATCAGACTAGTTCACAGTAAGTGAGAATGACTCATAGATTTAGTTCTCTCAGGTGGCGTTTGTATTGTAGTTTGTCTCTGCTGCAGCCAGTCACAAGGAGATACATGTGTGGGAGTATCTGTTTCTCTATTTTTGGGGGGACTGCGGGAAAAAGGATGCCACCTGGGGTCTGCTTATTTACTGTAAGTCTTTCTACCTTACCCTGCCTCTTGGGCTTCCATAATGAAGTAGGTCTGGCCATGGGTCTTTCTCCTTCCTTAGTACAATTTCTAAAGGGAAGGCAATATTCCATTTTTGGCATTTGGGAGGTGGTGAAACAGGCACCCTCTCTGTTCTCTCTCACTCTTTCTCTCTCTCTATGTGCGTGTGCGTGTGTGTGTGTGTGTGTGTGTATAGTGGTACTACAGGGTCATTTATACCAGCACGCCTCATAAGTTGCACCCCTGTTCGTCTTGTGCACCATGTGCCCTCCAGTGGCTGCCACGAAGAAGAAATGGAACTTCCTAAGTCAGCCATCCTGACAGACACTGTTGGAAACTTTCTCTGCAAGGCTGAGAACATGAGGGAAAGACTGCGGATGTTCATTCTGTTGTTAAACGTATCTCTGTTGCAAGACCAGCCTAGTGTACCGCCTTTCATGACACAATACATCTGTGAATATAAAATAACAGGAACTGGTGGCTTTTCTCATCAAAATCCAACCAGTTCTCTTCAGACACTTCTTAACCTGTAAAATGGGAATGGCAACAGTGTGCATCTCATAGGGTTCAGGTGAGGGGAAATATATCAGGATATATGATGTATATATGACATATATGTCAGACTTAGAACACTCTCACACAAAAGTGTCTTTAGGTCAATCAACAGGTATTTATTTGCCACCTCCGGTGTGCTAGAAACTGTTCTAGGAGCTGGGGATACAGGAGTCAACAAAATAATCTATGCCCTGATGGGGCTGATTGTGGTTAATAATCATGATAGCAAAGGCATAGCCAGGATCCAAATCCCCGCAGTCTAGCTCCGAGTCCCCAGTCTCCTCCATGACTCCATAGCACCTCTTGTTCACTGAGCAAGAGAATGCGAATAATACACTTGAGATGACGTTGTGAGTTGAGAGCCTGGACCTCAGGGATAAAGACCTGTACTTGGCAGCCATCTACTTTGAGTCTGCTAGCTGAAACCTGTCCAAGAACATAACACTGGGGAAAGGAGGTTTGAGAAAAAATTCTTGAGCAAGATTGACAATTAACGAAGGGGAAGATAAAGGAAGAGTTACTAAAACAAATTCCCATTATTGTTACTACTATTATTCCCTGTGCTCATCTAGAGGAGTCAAGTAACCTAAGGAATCAAATTCAATGAAAAAATATTGGTTGCACACCCACTCTGAGCGAAGAGTGGATGTGCAACAAATATTTGAGCAAGGCACGAAAATGATTTTTCATTAGACAGATACTTTGCAATTTAATTTTCTAAAATAGCTGAGTTTGATGGTCAATGAGTTCAATAAACAATTTTCCAGCTTTTTATATATCTAGCAATTCCATGATCACACAGTGTGTTTATCATCTATCATTCTCCAATTACTGAATATTGGTTGGGGTTCCTGTCCCCCAGTTTTCCATACATTTAGGCCTCCTTGCATGGTACCCTATCCAGGTCATTTTTTTCCCCCCGGTGAGCCCCCATTGATCATCTTAGATTTTCTGAGATGGTTTTGATTTCACATATTTTGAGTGGGGGCTTACAAACAATAATAAGATCATCCATAATTCTAAAATCTCTCTTCTTTTCTCTAATTAAAACCTTTGTGGGCCAGGCACATTGACTCATGCCTGTAATCCCAGCACTTTGGGATGCCTACATAGGAGGATCACTTGAGCCCAGGAGTTCACAACAAGCCTAGGTAACATAAGGAAACACCGTCTCTACAAATAATAAAAATAAATTAGTCAGGTGTGGTGGTGTGCGCCTAGTCCCAGCTACTTGGGAGGCTGAGAAGGGAGCACTGCCTGAGCCTGGAAGGTTGAGGATGCAGTGAAACTTGATTGCACCACTGCACTCTAGCCTGGGTGACAAGTGAGACCCTGTCTCGAAACAACAACAACAAAACAAAACAAAACAAAATAAAACAAAAAAACCCATAAAACACCAAAATAAAACAACCCCCCCAAAATCTCTGGGGTGCACTGATTGCAGTAATGGTCCCATTTCTTCACCCTTCCCTACTCTCAAGCTATTTACCGTGTGATTTTGCAGTTGCTCCTATTGAGAGGTGAACTATATCCTCCCCTCCCAAGCTGATTTTGAGTTTTCCATATAGCTTCCTTTGGCCAAGTGTTGGCAGATGTGATGTAAGTAGAGGTGTAAAAAAGCGCTTGCTCATTTTTGTTTGTTTGTTTCTTTCTTTGTTATGAAGACATGTCTGCGATAGCATACTAGAGAGTGGGGCACAGGGAGTCCCAGCTGTTTCAGCTGAGACCACCCCAGGTCAGTCAACTCTCATATGCCAGAAGACTAGAGCCAACTGCCAGATGTGAGGGAGCCAGATGAGATCAGAAGAAATTTGCAGCCAAGCCCAGCCTAAATCGCTGACCCACAAACTGTAAGCTCAGCTAAACAAATGTCTATCGCTTTAAGCCACTTCATTTTCAGACAGCTTGTTCCATAGCATTGTTGAGGCAATGGATAACTGATAATGCTTCCCATAAATCTTAGGAACTTGGAAGCTGCCCCTCCATTTGCCCTCCTTTAAGCAAAAAATTGAATGCTATTTGCAAAGCATTGTATAAAATGCTTTATTAGATTATCTTATTGAATCCTGACAACAATATCTAGCAGACAGATATAATGCTATTATCCAAATTTCAGAGGCAAGGAAATTGAAGCTTAGAGAAGTTTAAGTGACTTGACCAAAGTGCTTTTAGAAAAGCAGAGATTCTACAACCAGTCTTCTAAATCTTGGAAGACTGCTTTTAGCCACGGCTGCCTGCCATTTACTCTTTGGATTCTCCATTCTACCTGTTCTGCTGCCTACTTCTACCACCTAATTAGGAGAAGACCTTGTGTTCCCATTTGGGATATAGATACCCACTTTCATACTGGGTTTACCCCTAATATTTCTCTCCATACCACTCATGTAGATGGTTGTCTTCCGCATTAATCTGGAAATTTTTTGAGGGTAAAGACTAAAATACTTATATTTTTATCCCCACAACTCTATGCAGTATTTTTTTAAAAAAGATCATAGTCATGTTTTAAGGTAGCTATTCCATAAAACATATAAAAAGGTAAAAAATACTCTCCTAGAGAATATATGCATATTTAAAAGGACACTGTTATTCAAATTAATCTAATTTGTGGAATACACAGTAGAGGGTTTTCCCCATTTTGTTAAATAGTTTTAGTTATATGTTATTTGAATGTAGTGTTTGCCTGAATATCTACAAAAATAAAACTCTCTTGACTCATTTATAGATTAATTCCAGAAGCAGGGATTAATACAAAACTGGCAGTGAATAATTTCTGTTTTGCAGTTAGTTTCTGCATTTAAGAAATTGCTTTAGGGTTCAGTAACTTGCCCTGGACTTCAGGTATGCTGCCACCAGATGGCAGCAGGGTGCCAGGCATAAGGCTTGTAAGCAAAGAATTTGTGTGCTTTCTGAGGCTCAAGGTAATAGCTCTTTCCTTAAGTTCAAAAAGATTTTCAGACCACTGATTTCCAATTTAGCATAATACATTTCTTTACAAAAATAGGTAAACTAAAACTCTAAGCCACCCTAAGACATCTTTAGAACAGATATAAATCCCAAGCTATAAAATCACCTAACTCATTATTACTTCTCTTCTCTAGCATCTAATTATTTCTGTAATGGCTTATACACCATGATGGCTTATACGAATCTTATACACCTACCTCAGTGATAGTGTTAACCATTATAATTTACTTTGAATCTTTATGATCAATCTCTGCCATGGCACCGTGTATGTTAGTTTTCAAAATTCTCAATAGTTTTTCTCCAGGTAAAAAAAATCTATCTGGCTTTCCTTTCATCTGTCTTAAGAGAGCAGAGGTTTATCTTTTCAGTATTATCTGAGATCTTCTCTTAAGACCAAAAGTATTTCTCCACTACAGTGGCATGAACAGTGTTTATTTGCATTTCGTGTATGTATTTGTGAATATGGAGTACTTTTGCTTTTGTATTTTCTATACTATATAATAATCTACTAGAATATTTCCCCTCTCAAAGCTCTTGGAAGCACAGAGGCAGTTTACCATACTTTAACAGAAATATAGCTGGATTAAAATTTTTTTTTTTTAGCAACAGGCTCTGCCCTAAATATCTCAAGAAAATACTTTAAAGAACAAAAATCTTCATGCCAAATTAGCAAGATACAGGAAAAAAGGTAAGTGGGCAAAATACAGGGAAAAAAAGCTAATTCACCCTGACAGTTGTTACACAAAGCTGAGAGAGTCTTTCCCTCTCACATTTACAAAGTCCAGGAGCGGAAAGACTTTCAGCAGGAGTAAGCCATGAGGGTTTGGACAAGGCTGGTAGGGGAAAATGTTATCTCCTGGGCATACTGGGAAGCTGAGAGTCCAGGGCAGGTGAATGGGGTTGGAGATGGGAATGAGGGAGGACAGCATCTGAGCAGTAAATCCTGGAACTAGAGTTAGCATATCAAGCAGGGCTATCTATGCACCCAAGGTAAGTTCTGGCTGGGAGAAGCAGATGGCAACTAAGCTGTGAAAATAGGCTCCAAGGGACCAGCTCCCAGCGTAACTCTGGGGGAGGGATCTGGGGAAGTACAAAAAACATAGAGAGGCAAAAGACAAATAAAATAGGAGGAGAAGAGAAAGGGATGGATCATAGAAAGCTCTTATTTGATTTTGAGTCTCACAGGAAACCCATGAAGCCAGCAGGGCAGGTATTTTTTATCCTCTATTTACAAATGAGAAACTGAGTCCCAGAGGGGGTAAGTGACTTTTTTTAAGGTCAACATACCGAGGGGCGGATATAAGATTCAAAGTCAAGTGACCTGATTCCAAGCTAAAGATGAAAGAAGAGAGGGCACATTTGAAACCCTGACACACACACTGTATGTCCTACTCTTTGCTTTATAAACAGTAAGTAAAATTTTCAAATAATGGAAGCTTAGTCTTTTAAGGGTCAAACGGAAGCAGCTTTAGCCACTGTTGAAAAGCATTTCTGAAATGTATTATATTTGCCCTTGCCTCCTTTGAAAACTGACTGTAATCTACTCTCTTCTTGATACATGGGTTATAATTACAAAAATTTACTATATTTATGAACTTCTAATTCAGTAGATACCCTCAGGTTCTATGGAGGCACATGTGTTTTTTAAAAAATTAATTTTTTTTGCTGCCCCACCTAATACATTCATGGCTAGAAATAGCTGTGTAGCAGAACTGGCTGAGTCAGCTCCTTCTTCCCTCACAGCCAGCTCTTCCTTCTTAAGTGTGTCTGCTGCTGGTCCCTATCTACTGCTTCTGATCAGGTCATTCCGCTTATTAAAATCCTTTAGTGACTCCCTCTAACCACTGGTTGCAGTAGTTTGCAAAACAGGCTGCACATGAAAATCACTTGAGGAGCTTTTAAGACCTCCTGATACCCAGGTGCCAACACGAAAGATTTCAATTCAATTGTTTTAGATATGGGGCCCTCACCTACAGGGATTAACATAAGTAGCATGAACTCTTGCTTCTGGCCAAGATGGAATAACGGGGGCTAGATTTATCTTTCCAATGGACACAACTAAAAGTCCAGATGAATATATTAAACAATGGTTTTCAAGGCAACGGGCATGAGGCATTGAAGGACAGTGATCCCTGAGAGATGGAAAACAAACAAAATGAGTTGCATTTGCCTGCAATTGCCCCTGAGAGAATTTCTAGGCCATGCAGCAGAAAGGAAGAATTCAGAAGGAGTCTGCAAGACTCCTTAAATAGAAAAGATGAAGCAGAGAATCCAGGTAGACTAGCGTGGCTAGAGTTTGCCAGGCAGAGTATTAGAGAGCAGGGAGTTCTGATCAGTACATGCATGTGAGGAAATGGTATAAAATCAAATGAAAAACCAGCTGAAAAGATGAGTAGGAATAGTCTTTAAAGTTCAAACTGGACTGGTAAAACTGAGATTTGAAAACTATTCAAATTGGGAAGCCCTGAAATTCAAAGAGCATTGGTCAAGTACTCAGAAGGGTATTGCCCTCGTGGTGGGGAAGTATTGTCAATAGACTAAACAATACTCTGCCTTGCCTAACCTTAAAAGCAAGACCTGAAAGATCAAAGACTATTCAAAGAATTTTCCTGTATCCCAGAGCAATACCCAAAAATATCTGTAGGAATAAAAAAAAAATCCAGCATCCAACAAGGTAAAATTCATAATGTCTGGCGTGTAATAAAAATTACCAGACATGCAAAAAAACAGCAAGGAGAAAAATCAATAAAACCCAAACCTAAACTGACACAGGTGTTACAATTAGAAGACAAAGATATTAAACCAGTAACTGTAACTGTATTCCATATGTTCCACAAGTTGGAGGAAACAGCATGTTTAATAGAGACAGAAAATATAAGAAAGACCCAAGTCTGGCCGGGTGCGGTGGCTCATGCCTGTAATCCCAGCACTTTGGGAGGCCGAGGCAGGCGGATCACAAGGTCAGGAGATGGAGACCATCCTGGCTAACACGCTGAAACCCCGTCTCTACTAAAAATACAAAAAATTAGCTGAGTAAGGTGGTGGGCACCTGTAGTCCCAGCTACTTGGAAGGCTGAGGCAGAAGAATGGTGTGAACCCAGGAGGTGGAGCTTGCAGTGAGCAGAGATTGCAGAGATTGTGCCACTGCACTCCAGCCTGGGCAACAGAGCGAGACTCTGTCTTAAAAAAAAAGAAAAAAAAAAGAAAAAGAAAGACCCAAGTCTAACTTGTGAAGATGAAAACTATAATGTCCGAGATAAAAAATACACTGCATAGTAACAGTGACAGATTAGCTATTCTAAGAAGAAAAGATGAGTGAACTTAAAGACATAGCAATAGAAACAATCCAAATGTGTCACAGAGAGAAAAAAGACTGAAAAAAAATGAATAGGACATTGGTGAACTGTAGTACAACTTTAAATGACCTAATACTGATGTATTTGGGGTTTCCAAATGAGAGGAGAAATAAGGTGAGTAATAGAAAATATTCTGAGGCCAGATATGGTGGCTTACAACTGTAATCCCAGCACTTTGGGAGGCCAAGGCAGGTGGATCACTTGAGGTCAGGAGTTCAAGACCAGCCTGGCCAACATGGTGAAACCCTATCTCCACTAAAAATACAAAAATTAGCCAGATGTGGTGTCGCATGCCTGCAGTCCCAGCTACTTGAGAGGCTGAGGCAGGAGAATCGCTTGAACCTGGGAGGCGGAGGTTGCAGTGAGCTGAGATTGTGCCACTGCACTCCAGCCTGGATGAGAGAATAAGACTCTGTCTCAGAAAAACAAAAAAATTTAAGAGATAATGACTAAAAAATTTCCAAAGTTGATGACAATGATAAGTCTCATATTTAAGAAGCTCAAAAAACTTCGCACATAGAAAACATGCAAAAAATGATACCAATGTGTGTAATAATCAAATTGCTGTAAACCAGTGAAAAAGACAACACCTTCAGTGCAGCCAGGGGGAAAAAAACTGACCCATTATGTATAGAGGAACAACAAAATGGCGGCAGGTTTCTTGTTAGAAATAAAGCAGAAGAGAGGCTGGTGGAGCAATATCTTTAAAGTACTGTTCGTTAGAATTCTATACCCAGCAAAACTATGTTTCATGAATGAAGGCAAAATGAAGTATTTTTCAGACATACAAAAGCTGTGAAAATTTATCACTAGCAGCCTCACACTATAGAATAATGTCAAAGACAGTCCTTCAGGTAGAAGGAAAATGACACCAGATGGAACTAAGGGTCTACATAAAGGAATGAAGAGCTTGGTTGGCTTCAAGGGTGTGTGACCTGTATGGTTACACAAGGTCCTGCAGATAGAAGGGCCTTGTGCTAGCTTTAATGTTTTGATGTTACTGGCTAAAAATTTTTAATAATTTTTGAACAAGGGGCCCTATATTTTCATTTTGCACTGGTAGCTGGTCCTGATGAAGAATACTTAGTAGTCCATAGAGGTGGAGGCAGAGGCTGGAATGCCGAGCTTGGCTCTGAAGATCCAGGCCATATGTTCAGGCATGGAATAGGGAAGAGATGGAGGTGGCTTCTTCAGAGGAAATTTGGAATGTTTTAATTTTAATCACGAGAAGGGTGAATGAACAGATGTCCACTAAAATAAAAATTTTAAGGTAGCAATTTCTGGGTAATTAGAACACAATTTTCCTTTCTGCACAGAGATAGATCATAAATGGCTATAATTAGAGAGTTTCAGTTTTTTCTGAAGTTCATTTGTTGCGGAGTGTTCAAAACTGTCTCTTCAGGCCAAAATGCCTTGTTTATTGTGTGTGTGTTTTACTATTTCTGATATCAATGCTTTAATAATGCCTGTTCTGTAATATTGGCCCAGAGGTACTGCAAGAGTGTAAATTCACTTTACATGAAAAAGAAAAGCTATATTACTTCCAATGACATTTTAGTGATTAAATGCATTTTATTTGTAGTATAATTCTATCCCAGTTTAGGTCAAAGCTCCGAAGTTGAGAGTAGTATAATAAGTGTGGACATGCAAAAGATGCTGAAAGGTAGTAGAAATAATAATGTCAGATCTAGCCCATCACCACCCTCCAGAACATATATGAAAGGATTAGAAATCAATGTTAAGTGTGTATTTATTTGGGAGACTGTCCATCCTAAATGAGGACAAATGTCAGGGTGCTTTTCCCAAAACTTGGGCTGGCTGAGGGAAGCTTCAAGAGAATCCCTGGAACAGCTTGAAATCTGGATGCAGGGGGTGGAGTTGGTAGAGTCCAGAAGCTTTACCTGATATATGCCTGGAAAAGTCTAAAGCTCAGAGGTGGTATCTAGCTGTCCTGAAGGCTTGTGGGGAGCCAGCTGTACTGTATATAGGTATAAATGCAATGCTTAAATCCACAGATAATTTATAAAGTTCACTCTACACTTGAATACTCACATCCAGTCATTTAGTTGAAGCCTTCGGCTTTGATTAAAGTTGTTAATATTTGAAGTGCTGACTGATGTAACCTCCCTGGTATGGAAATATGAATATTTCTCATTTATTATGTCCCGTGGTGAAAGCATAACCTTTTACTTAAAATAATTGGTTTGAAAATGGAATTAGAATATTCATCCTCCCCATTCCTCCCCTGCAATTTGTGAATTTAGTAATTATTCTTCTTGGTTATGAGCATAAGTTACCATTTACCTTTATTCAATATGTACACACGCACACACACACACACACCCACACACTCTCACAGAATGCAAAAAAAAAATTAGGAAATAAAGTTATCGCAACTTTAGCAATGAGAGCGGGGTAGACAGAAGTGTGAGTTTATAATGCTGATCATGAAATAAAAACTTCAAAGCAAGCCTAAATCTGATACTCATAGGATGATAGCTCTACTGCATTTAAAGCAAATAAAGTTACATTTCTCAAGAATTAATGCAAAATTAGAAAGTTTCCTTTGAAAATCTCTTAGCACATCTCCAAGTGGTTAGCTTTCCTGGGAAAGCTGGAAATTAAATCAACAACATTGAAAGAAAAAAAACCTCACAGTCCTAAATTAAACAGTCATGTAAATATAGTTTCCAAAGCTATTAGGCAAGAAGCAAATGATTTTCTAATCAATTTACTGTTGCAAAAATAATGCCAGATTATTTTCATGGGGCATGTGAAATAATTTACATGGGACACACGTGGATATTGCTACCTTAGCAATCTTATCTAGTTCTACCCAAAGGTATTTAAAAAACAACCACTGACGCTGAAGTTATTTGTAATCATATCAGCAGCCTATCTCCTCATCCTCCATTCTCTTCCCCTCCACCAGCTGACTTTTGTATCAAAGGCAGGCTACCCTTGCACTTCTCTTTTCACTTAACATAGAACAACAGTTACTGGAGCAATCTGGTTCCCTTAAAACTAGCGACTCATTACAATGGTTCAGGATGTGAACTTCCCTAAAAGGCTTTGCTCTAAATCAAGGTGACTGTACATTCCCTTTTAGGCTAGAAAACAACAAACTATGCATTCTTAGTATAGGATTATTCAGCCCATATATTATATGAGACTACCTCATATTTGGGTACCTCTCTCATTAGTTGGGATAAACAAGTCTTGAATTTGAGATAATTCAAAATCTTTGTAAGCCAAAGGCATGCACACATTTTGCCTTTTTCTCATTTTAAAACCCAGTAACCCAAAACCATCACATGAACTACCCAATTCTATTGGGCATACAAATTTTGTTTTCTGATTTCCAAGTCTGAAGGTTCAGGTCAATATTTGTCCGTAATTAACATGGACATAATTAATCTGCTGAGTTAAATGACATACAAATCCTCACCACCAAGAGTGTGAACTTGCCCATAAAGTTGTCACACAGAAAATTGAATTCAATCAGCTTACTTTAAGGAAAATATACTGAGTTAGTGGTAGACACAGATGGCATGCTTCAGAGGATTTTGGCCTTAAGGTCTAAGAGACAGTGACTATGTTTTCAAATTTTGACACAATGCTTGTGACAGGCACTTCTCCCTGTATTGAAGCCAGAAAACTGTTAAGAGCCAACATGGGTGGAAAAGACCAGTTTTCTTTTTTTCTTTTTCTTTTTTTTTTTTTTTTTTTGAGACAGAGTCTTGCTCAGTCACCCAGGCTGGAGTGCAGTGGCGCGATCTCTGCTCACTGCAAGCTCTGCCTCCTGGGTTCATGCCATTCTCCTGCCTCAGCCTCCCGAGTAGCTGGGACTACAGGTGCCCGCCACCACGCCCGGCTAATTTTTTTTTTTTTGTATTTTTCATAGAGGCAGGGTTTCACCATGTTAGCCAGGATGGTCTGATCTCCTGATGTTGTGATCCGCCCGCCTCGACCTCCCAAAGTGCTGGGATTACCGGCGTGAACCACCACGCCTGACTAGAAAAGACTAATTTTCTGTCTCAAGTCAAGGCTGATTGGCCTCATGGGTGGTGGTGGATCAGTCCCTAAGCCCCGGCAGTAAAGCCAGGGGCCGTGATCCCCATAGTCACTGCAGCTGTCTACAAGGTCTGGCTGCAGTCACTAAACAAGGATCTCTAGGCCACAGGTACCCCCGGCACTGGGGAAAGTGAGTGCCCAAGCTTACATCTTAAACACTAGTTCAGGCCTTTGGATTTTGAGAGACATAGAGCCTCACATTGTAAGTGATCCTTACTTCAGTGAAAACATATAATAGAGTCCTATTGAAATCCATTCTTTACAATGGGAGATTACTGCTAATGCTAGCTAGGTGAGTGATTCATGTGCTACCTATTGTAAGTATTAATTCTTCATTAGGTAGCAGTGTGATTCAGAAAATGTTACATAGGGATATTTTTCAAGCTATTCCATTAACTAATTAACTGGGATGCAACTTAAGTTGGAAGATTGTTTGGTTGATGTATGGAAGGTACCCCTTTAAAAAATATCTATGAGTAGCCATGTGATGAGTGTCAAGTTCTTGACAGAGAATTGAAATCTTAGCCTGCTGCGACCAAAAAGCAATACTGTTTCAGTTAGTTCCGTTGCCACACAGACTGAATGAAATTAACCAAAGGCTTTATGTTAGACAATGAGTCTCTTCTGAAATAATGATAGCTTTTGTGAGGGCATAAGAAGCAGAAAGTTAAGAAAGAGTTACTTATGGCCATACAATCACATTAATTTGTCTATTTAATGTGACTTTTAGATTCAAGAACAATTTCTATACGATGTTCTAGAAAAGACATTATTTTTTCAGAAAGACTTTTAAAAGCAAGGAATTAATTAGTTACTAATAATAACCATCATTTAAAATAAGCAATGGCATGTAATGTGTAGAACCGGGACTTTTGGCGAGAAAGTGACATAAAGAGTAGAACAGAGCACTTTTGAACCAGCAGAAACTTATTTGCTTTATCTCTTAGTTCATAAATGCCATTTTCCTCAATCATTTACTATAAAACTAAAACTATTCTTTAAAAACCTAAGTGATTTCTCATTGTTACTGTTAAAAAGAAATGTGTGCTATGCCAAATACAATTCAAATGAATGACCATTTTATGTTACATTTTCATCTTATTCCTTCATTTATGCTAGAAAATAACAAAAGTAAAAATGCAATGAGAAAAGTATCAAAGTCATGTATGCAGATTCAGTTGATCTCTTTGGGCTTGACTATTTGGCAACATATGTTGGCCAGTTTTTATAGGAAATCTATGCTAAGTGTATGAATAAAACAGAGACAACGTAAGATTAGACACTAGCTTCAGAAAATAAAATTTTGATAATACAGCAGCCTATTTAGTAAGAATAAAAGCAGTCTCTTGGAGTGTGGGATTTGTATATGTGATTAAGAAATAGAGACAAGGGGCCGGGCGCGGTGGCTCACGCCTGTAATCCCAGCACTTTGGGAGGCCGAGGCGGGTGGATCATGAGGTCAGGAGATCGAGACCATCCTGGCTAACAAGGTGAAACCCCGTCTCTACTAAAAAATACAAAAAATTAGCCGGGCGCGGTGGCGGGCGCCTGTAGTCCCAGCTACTCGGGAGGCTGAGGCAGGAGAATGGCGTGAACCCGGGAAGCGGAGCTTGCAGTGAGCCGAGATTGCGCCACTGCAGTCCGCAGTCCGACCTGGGCGACAGAGCGAGACTCCGTCTCAAAAAAAAAAAAAAAAAAAAAAAAGAAATAGAGACAAGGAAACATGATAGAGATAGAAAACTAAAAAAATGATAATTTAAATCTTTAACAGTGAATATGAGCAAAGATCAGAATAGGAACCTATTTATTATCATATCTATATCCTATAACTGAAAAAATTTCCTAAAAAGGAGAACACAAAAATGCTTGGAAGATTTTCTTGGATAATGCAAAATACCCTGGGAGTTCTCTCTTTACCTCTTAGTTCCCCCACATTTAAACTTCAAAAGACAATGACTCTGGAGCTTGAGAGAGATCGATATTTAAAACAGAAGGCATATCTATAAATCCCCATTGGATGTCCAAACACTTATAAAAAAAGAAAATTAAATTTCATTTATCAAGGGTTGAATAGTTAAGGTGTCACTAAGAGACCAACTTACATTAATAAGTTCAACCTCCCAGATTTTTTTCAACAGGTCCATCGAAGTGTAGCCATTAATTAGAAAGGCTTTGGTGTAGTCGCCCAGTTCAATGGAATCCAGCCACTCAGCTACAGAGGTGGGATGGTAGCCATCATGCCCAATGGGTCTCATCTGTAATAAAGAAAATTACATTAGGATTAAACTGTATACTTTGTGTCCCAACAACAGAATGCAGATTTCCCCTTGAAAATTTATTTGACATGAAGAACAGATCTTTCTGGAGACGGAAACAAGGAAAAAGAAAACACTTTCTGATGTGTTTTCACAATTCTAAAACATTAATAATTTTCACGCTGAATAGGTTTTCAAAATATACACAGAAATTTCCAATTTAGCTGCTAGATTAACTCTATATTTGGAAGAGCTAAACATGTCAAACTTCTGTCATAGACATTATTGGCATTCTGGTGGGTGGAATTAAAAATGATGTCAGTTGAATGGCATTAAATTCGATGCGAAAGTCACCAGGAAGTGCACTTTCAACATGTAGATGATAATTCTCATATGCACAGCACCAAAGCATGTGAAAATACTGCATGACTTAAGCATTCAAAGGGAATTTGTGCTTATGCAAGACATGTATTGGAGGTAGTGCAAACACGCTGGAGAAACATACTGCTGCGGTGAACCAGTAAAGGAGAGGCCTTTGGGTATTTTAAGACCATGTGTTCTGCATCGACTCTACAGTATGTTAGACATGAATAGAGAACTTGCTGGCAGACAGGCATCTATTTTTTGTCAGCTATATACAGATTTTTAAAAAATAGGAGAACAAAGAAATGTGACAGCAACATAATGTTTCTGAGTTTAAATTGGAGTGTGAAAGTAATTTAAGCAAGAGGAACTTCTGGGTTTAAAATTTTGTATGGATTATTCTGGTCCTTTAGCTTTTATTTGAAATTGTAGCTGAATCTGTGGTTCTTGGTTTTCGAAGTGACTCACTTCTAAAACTTGGGCTGCTTTGCATGCCACGCCGTATATCTAATACTTCAGTTTTTCAGGAGAGCTGGCACCTCATCAACCTGATGGGGGCCTTCGGTAAAATTCACGATGGAAACAGCAAGGCTGGGCAAAACACAACATAGATTTTCCTCTTTCTTTGATTCAAAGAGATAAATATTAATGGAAATTTATATGATTCTGATTTGCGAGCAGAGAAAAGATTAGTCTGGGAATCAGGGATTCAGATTTTAATCTTAAACATGGTAAGCTTTCTATCACTATGCATGGTTCTCATTTTTGAGATTCTCCCTACTCCTTCATTTTAAAGTTACTTTTTCTCTTTTCCAGTTGTTCCGCTCCCCATTCTAGTTTCCATTTCAAAGTTTAAATGTTCTCTGTTTTATTTTATTTTTTTTGAAATGGAGTCTTGCTCTATTGCCCAGGCTGGAGTGCAGTGGTGTGATCTCAGCTCACTGCAACCTCCACCTCCTGGGTTCAAGCAATTCTCATTCCTCAGCCTCCCGAGTAGCTGGAACTACAGGTGAGTGTCACCAAGCCTGGCTAATTTTTGTATGTGTCTCTACTAAGAGACAGAGTTTCACCATGTTGGCCAGGCTGGTCTCAAACTCCTGACCTCAAGTGATTCACCTGCCTTGGCTTCCTCCCAAAGTGCTGGGATTACAGGCATGAGCCACTGCTCCTGGCCTAAATGTTCTCTATTTTAAAGTTAGAGTACAATTTATTATTTACATTAGAGTCTGAACTTGGTCAGACTTTTGTACTTCACTTTTACATTGACTGACCCATTTTAGCTACTCATTAAATATTTGTTCATGTAACACTTAACTCTGTGTTTATTATGTGGTAGCTACAAATGTAAATGACAACTCAGCATTTGCAGAATGAAAGTCAGTGGCATTCACAAATCCCTGGATGTTATGTATGTATAAGATCAGAGGCTAGGACCCAAAAGGGAGGCTCATAGATATTCGGTAGCTTCATATTCTATAGAGAATTACAAAAATATTGGGGCTGGGTACATTCTCCAGGCCTCGTTAAAAGGTGGTTGAACTAACTCTGTTAACCTAAATAATCACTCTGGCCCCAGGAATCTTCCTGACTGCCCCAGTGACATGAAATAAGAAAGAAAGGGAAGAAAGTGAGAAACACTAAGGTTGAAGTTAACTGCTTAGTAGGGAGGTCTTGCCGTTGGCCCATCCATAAAGCTGACCACTCCAGCAGCAGATACTCGGGAAAAGCTTAGGGAGTCTTGATGACTGGATTTGGGTCAAAGTCAGTTGTCTCATACCAGTGAACTGTGCAATGGGGTTACCACAGGTTACCCCCAAGCACTTACACAACACTCTTTTGAGGAAGCAATTAGTGGCCATCTGACACACAGAGGGTGTTGATGGTCGGTGGTGGCCAAAGAATCAGGGAACCCATGACAGGACTGCAAAGAAAATCTAGGTAAGTACAAAGATGTTTGCTTGTCCCTCCAATCCCCCTTTCTTGTCCCAATGCCAGAAAATTTAGAATCAGAAGAGAGAAGTGCCAGTCCCTTAGGGGAAGTCTAAACTTGGGGGGGGGGGAGGTGGTGAGGAAAATAAAACTGGAGGTTTCAAATAAATTGGAACTGAGCCTTCAACATTTTACATGGTTGGAAAGTTATTGGAAATGTCTGAGATGATATTTATAAATAGTAAAGGGAGGGTCAGTTGAGCTTGGTTGAATGATTGGAAAATAAAAAAATAAAATAAAACAGCAACCATCATATCAGGATTGCACGGAATGCAGGCTGTTCAGTGGTCTGATTACTCCTGTAAGGCAAGTTCTCCTAGACCAATCTTAAAGAGGTGAGAGGGAGGGAAATATTTGGTGGGAGGATGAAAGACAAGGGCAGGGTAGAGAGCACAACTGAAGAGACCTTGGAAATGGGTATGCTGAGGTGTACAGGGCAGTATCATCCGCCCACTCATTCAATAAATATTTAATCAATGCCTATTCTGATGAATGTTGTGGAAATGGTAGAGAACAAAACAGTCATAGTCTCTCCCTCATGGAGATTATAACTCTTAATTAAAATATGCAAACAGATGACCAATAAATTATGAAGGTTCTGCATACCTGAAGAGAGGAAACCATTAGAGCCAAATGCAGTTACAAAATTAACTTGACACATATTTAATGATATGCAGAATAGTTACTGTGCTGCACAATAATTTCTTCCAAAGCAATGATCCCATCTGTTCCTTTATTTCTGTCCCTACTGCCATTACCCTGTTTAGGTTCTTGTTAGTGCTTACAAAAACTAACACAATAGCCTTCTACATGGTCTCCCACCTTTGATCCAGCTTGTATCTTGCTACTACATTAGTCTTCCTAAAAGTCAGACCCTTAAGTGTACCTTTGTATAAAAGCCTGTAGTGGCTCCTTCTCGAAAAAAGTCCAAATGTCCTATTCCAGCATTCAAGGCCGATTGAGATTAGCCTAATCTCCCACTCCTCTGCTATTGTGTACCCAATAAATGTAACTAGACACGTGTATGTCTAAACAGTACATTAAATCGCTAGGCATTCCCTGAAAATGACCTGTATATGACACAGTCAATATCTTTGCTAATATAACTTCCCATGCTTGGAATGCTTTTGCCCCTGCTTCTGGAGTGATTTCTTCAGGACTGGCTTCTCTTCTTGAGCTCTGAGATGCAAATTTCTAACCATTTGTAGGACATCTCACATAAATGTCCTATAGGTGTCACCAACATAAGTCAAAAACAAATTTAACTCCTTTAGTTCAAAAACAGGCTCTCTTCCTCTTTTTTTCCATTTCAGTTAAGGGCAACTATTACTCCACTGCCCAAGCAGAAGCTTGGGAGTTATCTTACTTTCCTCTTTCTGTTTACTATCATATCTAATTAGGCCAACATGGTCTATCAATTTGATTTCTAAGATGACTCTCAATTCATTTCTCTTCTTCCAAAATGGACTTTGGAATATGACATTCCCAGCAGTGCTACGTATTTGTTGGGTGATCTTTGGCAAGTTACTCTTTCAGCCTGTTTCCTCTTTTTTAGAATAAGCATAATAATACCTATTCCAAGTGTTGTTGTAAAGATTATATGAAATAGGGAATAAAAATTGCCTAGCACAGTGATTTGAATATAATAGCTATTCAATTATAACTCTTAGTTCTCTTTTCTCCCCATTGCCCTAAATTAGACCCATGCTTATTTTGAAATTGCATAATATTCTGCCATTGGCTGCTAGTCTTTTCAGCTTCCAATCAAAGCTCTCCTCTCTCATCCCTTCCTATTTCCTCTATTTCCTTCCTTCTTTATCTTGTTTTAGAAATGGTTTGCATCTGCTAACATCTTTACCCCTCTCCCCTTCAGCCGACAGTTATTTTTTAGAAACATATCTAACGAGGTCACTCAAGTCGATTGAACTGTTTATTCCAATTCTTCGTTCTCTTACTGTATTAGAATTATGCCCCTGTGCCCTTTGCCAAGGGATCAACATTATGTCTCAGTGTGGCTGGAGTTACTTCCCAGTCTCATCAATGCTGGCCAATAGAATGCGTGAAGTGTCAGTGTGGTGGTTAGAGACGAGGTCTCTGTGCTCCTGTGTTCTACTAATCTTTCAGTGTTCATATGCTCTCTCATAAGAATAGCAAGTGCTGAGAAGTTGCATAACTCCTGGTTCTAGGAGAAAGATGAAGACTCGTGGAGCAAACCTAAATTTAACCCAAAGCTTGGAATCTACCCTAGCTCGATGGGGCTCAGGAAAGTCCAGATGAAGTTAGCTGAAGCACAGCAGACCCGTGAGTAAGAAAAAAATATTTTTTGTTGTTGTTGCTGTGAACTACTGAAATTTTGATTACAGGGAAAAACTGAATAGTCACTCCTTGTTTAAAAACCCTTGGTGTTTATCCATTATGCCTGTGGAATATAAATCAGACCTTTTAGTTTATGAATCTATTGGCAAATGCATCTTCATGAGACTGAGAAAGATTAGGGATGCTGAATAAGCAAACATCAGTATCCTTCCCAAGCTACCTCACTGTCATGCAGAAACTCTGCATGCCACATCTTTTTTTTTTTTTTTTTTTTTTAAGACAGAGTCTCACTCTGTCACCCGGGCACCCAGGCTGGAATGCAGTGGTGCAATCTTGGCTCACTGCAGCCTCCGCCTCCTAGGTTCAAGCAATCCTCCCACCTCGGCTTCCCTAGTAGCTGGGACCACAGGTGTGCACCACTACACCCGGCTAATTTTCTTTTGTATTTTTAGTTGAGACCAGGGTTTCACCGTGTTGCCCAGGCTGGTCTCAAACTCCTGAGCTCAAGCGATCTGCCTGCCTCAACCTCCCAAAGTGTTGGGATTACAGGCACAAGCCACTGCCCCTGCCCTATATGCTGCCTCTTTATTAACCCTAAACTAAGTAATTCTTTATTGTATGAGTTTGATTTTTGGGGCATAATCCACTGTACATGTAATATACCTCCACATCTTCGCTCATGCCATTCCCTCTGCTAGGAATACAGTTTCTACTTTTTCTCCTAATGAAATTCTATCTATCCTTTTTTTTTTTTTTTTTTTTTTTTTTTTTTTTTTTTGAGACGGAGTCTCGCTCTGTCGCCCAGGCTGGAGTGCAGTGGCGCGATCTCGGCTCACTGCAAGCTCCGCCTCCCAGGTTCACGCCATTCTCCTGCCTCAGCCTCCCGAGTAGCTGGGACTACAGGCGCCCGCTACCACGCCCGGCTAATTTTTTGTATTTTTAGTAGAGACGGGGTTTCACCGTGTTAGCCAGGATGGTCTCGATCTCCTGACCTCGTGATCCGCCCGCCTCGGCCTCCCAAAGTGCTGGGATTACAGGCGTGAGCCACCGCGCCCGGCCAATTCTATCTATCCTTAAAAGGTCCTGTTTAAACGTTACCTCCTGTGTGAATCTTTCTCTAATGTTACCATTATTCCACCGAAAAATCATATCTTCTGCTATATTTCTGTAGTATTTTCCATAGAGTTCTATTATAGTATTATTAAAGTCTGCTTTCAATAATAGAGAAGTGAGTATCTGTCTTCTTCATTGGACTGCCTACCCCTTGGTGAAGAAATGAGGTGTTAATCATTTTTGAAGTCCCTAAATCGTCCAGCAGAGCATCTCACATATGGCAAGCATATGCTAAATGTTTGTTAAATTAAGTGACTTAATGAATACATGAAGACAAAATGACAAATTCATTTCAGTGGCTTGGTATCCATTTGTGGGAGAGATTTGTATTTTGTACTCCATGTTATGAAAACTAAGGTTATCTTTTTCTGCCTAACAATAACATTCATAACTATTTAAAACCTCCATATATCAAGAACCAGTTCCAGATAGGATATTGTGTTACAGAATGCAATGGACTTTGTTTCCATAGCACAGAAGACTTGATTCTATTAGCCATGTAGCCATGGGCAAGTCACTTCATCTCTCTAAGCTTCAGTGGTGTCAGCTATAAAATGAAGGTATTGGACCAAGGATCTCAAAGCTGCTTTGTAATTCCTAAATTTTGCAATTCCATGACTCGTAAATTAATTTTAAATTAGTAACCTATTTGTTTACCCAGGAAAGAAAAAATAAGCCCAAAGACAAAACTAAAATTCATATATATATATATATATGATAGGACGTGTAGACTAAAGGTCAGATGGCATTCACATTTCTTTCATGTATCTTCAGCAGTACCCACAGGGAGCACTGTGACTGCATTCTCAAATTAGCAATGATGAAACTTTTTTTCCAGCGGGAACATCTGGCAAGACAGGGCTAGGAAGTGACAGCTCCATCGGCCTGCCAGGCCAGCAGTGCTGCTAAGCATGAACGGAAGTCAGGCTCACTCTATAATCTGAGAGGCAGAGTGGTGAGCAGGCAGCAGGCATTCATTACAGAGGCTCGCAACAAGGCAATTTGATTCAATTAGTTGAATTCCAAAGTCTGGAAAAACCTAAGCTGAGACAGAAATTCGAGATAGCAGTGAAGCTTTAGTCTTGGGAAAATTGAGATATATTAACATATTTTTTTTTTGCCAAATGCCTTCCTTGTTCTTGTTCCACCCAAATGACTTTCCTCCAGGAGTTTTTTAGAGCATACTTGGCCTCAGAGAGAGTATGCTGTTAACATCACAGGTGGTACAGCAGGCAGAGAAACCACAGGACAGTACTCTGTGGAGTTCTGGGTTTGAGGGGGTCAGCTACGGGGCAGCTGAACAACCCATGCTCTGAGACTGCTTGATCGACTTCAACCAGAGTAACTCTTATTTTATGCGTTTTATACAAGTAAGAGGAAGAAAGGTTTTCTCGGCTTTAAAAAGAAATGTTTGAAAACCACGAATCTAGAAGACTTTTGTAAGATTACATGACCACTATGATTTTATTTTCTCTTAACTTTTTAGCTTTATTTGAAATATTATGGATCTGTTATATATATGTGGTTATATATATATATACACACATATACATATATACACATCACACACACACACACACACACACACACACACACACACACACACACACATATATATAGAGAGAGAGAGCCTGTCATTCCATCATTCTTTCTCTTTGCCTGAAGCCAGCATTTTCTGTGCAGATAAGGATAATATCTTATGAGATGACGGAGCCACAGGATGGAAGGTATAGCAGGAGGAAGGCAATAAAAACAGGTAAAAAAAATAAAAAGAGAGAGAAAGGTGATATACATTATAATAGCTTTGGGATTAAATGAGAAAAGTAGTTCTTGATGGGACAACTTATTAACCTAGAATTATGATATTGGCATGGTATTTAGAACAAGAGGATAAGGAACCCTGAAAAGCCAATAATGGATTAGACAGGCATTTTTATGTCCAAAAGTGTTAGAAAATTGAGAAAAAGACTACTTGTTGTTCCCTTAAACTTGTCCTCTCTTCTTCCACATAATGGGGTTAAATTGGGTTCATGCCTGCCGGACTAGAGACAAGATACATCAGCTTTTTTTCTGGTTGCTGCTGTGAAAATATGGTTGAGCCTGTGGAATGCTAATGAAAGTGTTGCATGTAACTTTCAGGTCACCTCTAGCTAAAAGAAGTTCCTCGACCTAGAATTCCTCTTTTTTCTTCATCTTCCTATAAGCTGGAACATCAGTGACTGCAGTTCAGCTTTGACTACACAGGCAAAACAATACCCTGGAGTCTGGGAAATGCTTCTCAGACCTCAACGTGCTTAGGAATCATGCAGAGAATCTTATTAGCAGACGATTCTAATTCCGTTATTTGGAGGGAGGATTGGAGATTCTGCATTTCTAACCAGCTTCCTGGTGATGCTAATGCTGTCAGCCCATGAACCACACTTTGAGTAGTAGTGCTTTGGAGGATGACAGAACAACAAATAGAAGGTCCTCGGTCCTTCCACAATTGCATAGAGCAAAGCCACCTTGTAAACCTGCACTGCTCATTTCAAGACTATTATATGAGAGAAATTAATATTCGATTCTTTAAACCACTATATTATGAATGTCTCTATTTCAGTATCATAGCCTTTCCTTGAATACAAACATAACTAAAAATAAGGCAGTTTCATGTAGAACATTTAAATGAAGCCTGTACTTCCATTTGACATTACATTGTATTATCTCTTGTTTTGTGGGGCCGTAAGTTTTCACATCTGTTATCGTTAAAGAAGCTTCATTTCCTTTAACTGTGTTTGTTGGCATTTCTCTGTCAATCACAGCATCATCCCTTTGTAACAACTATGCAAGGGATAAGAGGAGAAAAATGCAGGGAAACCCCAAGTTTCTAGCTTGGATATCTGGGCAAATGGTGGTGTTACCAGGTAAAAGAGAAAAGAAAATAGACTGGGATGACATGAATAATTTTGAGACATGAGAAATTTAAGATGCTATGCTGTGGAATGGCACTTTAAATTTGGAGAAGTCTGGGGAGACACGCGGCCTTGGGCATCATCAAAGTACAGGTAAGAGTGTTGGCAACTCCACTTATTAGCTATCTGACCTCGAGCAAATCACTCATACTTCCTAAGCATCCATTTTCTGATTAGTAATGTGAAAGATTAAAAGAATATCTATCGCTGAGCGTTGCCATATGTATTCAATGAAACTACACAAGGAGAATTTAGCACAATACTTGGCACACAGAAGCACTCAATAAATCTTTGTTATTTTTTTTCTGACAGCTGAAATCATGCACAGGTAGGACTGCAGAGGTGACTTTGTAGTGTGAGAAGAGAAGTGGCCTGAGAATGAACCAACACTTTCAATGCATAAGGAACAGATAAAAATAATACTCAGGAGACCAAAGAAGGAATGGTCAGGACAAGAAAAGAAATGGGGGAAATAAGAGTGTCAAGGAGAGTGTGGTCAGCAGTGAGGGGATGCTGCAGAGACGTCTAATAAAATGATGAAGGAGAAGGGTTTGTGGGATCACAAATAGGTCATCGGAAATAGGTCACCAGACACCTTATTGAGAAGAGCACAGAAGCTGAGCTGCCCTAGGTTGGGGAGTTTGTATGGGAAGAAAAGGGGGAGATGAGATTTTAGAAAGCACAGAGGAAAACACATGGAAAGGGGTAAAGAAATGAGGACTCAGGGTTGAGAAGGGTCAGAGTCATAAAACAGTTAAGTTCCAGGGTGCAGTGGAGATTGCAGGGGAGGGCTTGCCTTTTGCTTTGACACTTTGCCCTCCTTTCTTGAAATTACGGATCTGACAAGGATGGTTGGAGCTAACTTCAGGGTGAATACTCTGTGTTAAAACAGTGCGAGTGTTTGGAAGCTACATGGTTTAGACTTGGTGAGAGCTGGATGCTTGTACGTGAAGTACCTGTGACCTTCTGGTGAAGGTCCTCACGTGGGCAAGAGCTGTCGCCTGTGTTGTCTTCACTCCTCAGATACAAACACAGCAACCTATCATTTACATAGACCCACCAGTGCCGATATCCCTGATGTGCCAGGCTCAGCTACTTAAACTTGCCTAGGAAGCTGCCGTGGACCGTGGCTTCTCTTTTCCCACCTGGATGTACTTTGTACACTCAGATTTCCTGCCTGATATGGCTTTTGTAATACAGATAGCTGATATCGTCAGGTACTTCCCTCTATTCTGGCTCCTTGTTCTAGACTCTTCTGCTCTGTCCTGCTGCTACCCAAGTCTTGGACTAACAGCAGTCCTGAAAATAAACGAGGACAAGCAGTGCTAGCAGACAGTGTGCTGCCAAGTCCAAATGCAGGTCTATCAAGTAGTGTGAGGATCAAATCTACAGGCTGTGAGACCTGGGCTTAGACATCACTGTGCTGTTTCATCAGTGGCTCTTAAAAGGCTGATTGAACATAAAAGAGAAAGGCTGATCTTCTGACCACGAGGCCCCAGAAAAAAGTCTACCTATCACCATCTGAGTGCTATCTACGGCAGTGCAACTTTGCTGGGAGGGACGTCTCCAAAATGCTGAGCACTGTTAATGATAAGAACATCACTTAACAATGATGTGGGACTTTAAAGAGCCTCAAGTGATTTCACGCATGTCACCTCAGTTGTAAAGTGTTTTAGGTGATCTTTAGGAAGACACCCTTTAAGGAGTCTGAGAGCCTGAGTATCCCATATAATTATATTCCTTCTGTGGGAATGGAAAGGATTAATATACTGTGACTGTTGTTGGAAAGCAAGGAGTGATAAACTCTCTGTGTTGTGCATCTGTAGCAAGGGAGGTATACATGTACAAATACGTCTGCTACTTGCAGCTCCTTTGTTTACAATTAGACTCTGTTATGGATACAATTTCTATAAAAGAATAAAGAGAAACATAAACCCTCAGAAGTAAGAAAACTGTGTCTGATGTCACTACGAACTCACAGCTACAGAAAGTGGTAACCCCTCTATTATTTTTCCCACCACTGACTGAGCCTTACTGATTTGGGGTTCCTTGAGTGTTCAGATATTGAAGACTCCCAGCTGTAGGCATAAGGCAGAAGCAGTGAAGAAGTAGTATCTGGATATTACTTGATACTACATTTTTGGGAAATAAAGGGAAAGGAAAGTGCTTTGGACTAGACACTGTCTCTCAATGTTCTAGGTTTTCTATTTCGTGAAAAAGAGAAATGAATTAAGGTCTATTCCAGAGAGGGCCTGAGGTATCCCTAATTTTGAAAAGTCTTAGATCATGGAGTAAAATAGAAGTGAAGCAATGGACAGCAATGAAGGACTAGATTTAAAAATGTTTTCAAGACACATAGGGGATCAGCTTCCAACAGCACAGAATAGCCTAGAAGCACTAGACTGGCCCTGTCTCTAGTCATCAGGGATAGGGGCACGCCCTCTGGACAAAGGCACTGGGAAGACTACAAGTTAAAGGAGTTAAGTTGCCAATGCAGCCAAGTTCTATAAAGCATCCTTGGGAAAAAAGGTCAACCGCTACAGCAACAACTACAAAACAATCTGTCTTATTTCAAGCCGTGTGTGAGAGCTACTAGTCAGGCACTGCTCTTTTTAGCTTCATCTGTGCCCAGGGAGATTAACTCTATCTGTAGCAGCACTTGAGAAATGCTATCTGCCATGTAGGATCTGTGTGGGATGCAGATGAAAAGACCAGTAGAGCCCTAACACAGTAGACATATAACATGGTCCTTGGGGTTGAATTATTTTATTGAATGGTTTTGTTGTACCTCTCCCTGAAGCTTTGCGTAAAAGAGGTGTTTTTAAAAATTTAATAAGAGGAAATGTTTTTACCATCTTTTCATTTCTAAAATTCTTGTTGAGGTAATGTTGACCCTAGAGCCTTTTGTTAAACATCGTTATTTGTTTTGATATGTTTCCTTGTTGCAAAGCTTTTTTTATGAAGCAAGAGTTCAGATTAAAGATGAACAGAGGATTTACTGCAACTAGAATAAGGCGCTGAACAATGTTCACTAGCATTCACATTTCCAAGCTCTACTAGTGATGTGAACTATATTTAGAAAAAAGACACGGGGTCTCTTTTTTTCTCTGACAGTACATGTTTTCTGTCATTCATGCAGCTATTTGGTGGTTATATAGTACACTGCTTTGCTCTTCAAACAGAAACTTTAAATGCTACTATTAATCAGGAATATCATTTGCATACTTTTAGTCTCAACTAAAATAATTTCCCCAAACTTGAGTCTTCAGAAGATAATGAATGCCCTGAATGTCAATTCTATTTATTTGATATTTAAAAACCATGTCCTTTCTCAGAGCCTCCAGGCACATGCATAATAACATAATCCACAGAAGTACTTCAAGCAGATAAATGTACCACACAACCAGAATTAGCAGTACACAAATGAATGACTTATGTTCTACCTGGGTAGAGCAGTACAAAATATGTCATTCACATGGTGGTCAAACAGGAGTATACTCACGTTCACTTAGGGAGTTACAAAAATGAGGACCTACCATCCATTCCATTCATCCATCCATCCATCCATCCATCCATCCATCCATCCATCCATCCATCCCATCCATCCATCCATCCATCCATCCATCCATCCATCCATCCATCCAACCATCCATCCGTCCACCCACTTATTTACTCAACAAATACTAACAGTATGTTTGCTATATTCTAAGCACTGTTCTGGATGTGTCAGTGAACAAAACATATGAAGGTGCCAGTCCTTGTGGGGTTTACCTTCTAAGTGGGGAAGACAGATAATAATTAATAAGCATAATAAATAAAGTATATAGTCTGTTAGAAGGTGATAAGTGCTGTGAAAAAAGAGAAAGTGCAGTGGGGGGATCGGAAGTACTGGAGTGTGTGTATGGTGTGGCAGGTGCAGTATTAAATAGCGTGGTTAGGGGAAGTTTCATTCAGAGGAGAAGATTTGGACAAAGATTTAAAGACAGTGGATTGGCTGGGCACAGTGACTCATGTCTGTAATCCCAGAACTTTGGGAGGCCGAGGAGGGCAGATTGCCTGAGCTCAGGAGTTCGAGACTAGCCTGAACAACATGGTGAAACTCTATCGCTACTAAAATACAAAAACCCAGCCAGGCATGGTGGTATGTGCCTGTAATCCCAGCTACTCAGGAGGTTAGGTTGAGGCGCGAGAATTGCTTGAACCCAGGAGGCAGAGGATGCAGTGTGTTGAGATTGTGCCACTGCACTCCAGCCTGGGTGACAAAGCAAAACTCTGTCTCAAAAAATAAAAAAGTAAAAAATAAAGACGGTGGATTGGCTGTGTTGAGGGTGAAGATTTCAAGTAGAGAGAACAACTAGAGCAAAGGCCCTCAGGAAGGAGGGTCCAGCATATGTTCAAGAAATAACAAGGAGACCAATGGGGTTGGAGCAGTGTGTGTGCACAGAGAAGAGAGGGAACCAGGGGCCAGATAAGTGAGGGCTTATAAGACCTGGCAAGGATTGCCTTTCAATCTGAGGGAAATGGGGAGTCAGGGTATGCATTTGAGCAGAGTTGTGACATGATCTGGCTTACATTTCAGCAGAATCACTTTGACTGCTGTGTTGAGTAAAGCTAATAGGTCTTTTCAGAGGCTGTGGAAGTAATTCAGAAGGAAGGGGCTAGTGGCTTGGATAAGGTACTAAAGTAAAGGCAGCAAGAAGTAGTTAGATTCTGGGTATCTTGACGGTAGACCAGCATAATTTCCTGAAACACAAAATAAAATCATCCTTGTTCTCTAACATGGATCAGGAATCTGTCAGTTTGGTGGTTGCAGCTGTGTGTCATGGGTCTCAGCTTGAAGAGGACTGTATTCGTTCATCGTGTGTGGGAACATATGGGTGACTGGCAGGGACAGGCTTGCAGCAGTCTGTGCTCAGTGAGGATTCCAGGGGCCTGGAAAGACTCTGCTCAGAGATTCAAGGAATAATAGATGAGTATCAGAGAGAATGGGTGATTCTGAATGATTTTAAAATCTGGCACTCTGACTGTGCCCTGGCCAGTCTCCCATGGACCATCCCTTAAGATGAAGAGGTTTCAATTAAATAGCTGTATCATGAAACATTTTTGGACATTGAGAACAAAAGGAGTAGGCAGAATTAGCACCAGCAACTTTGTCAGCAAGAAGAGATGGTGCCATATTGCAGATATTGGTGCCCTCAACATTGGGCACCAGCAGTTGGCAATGATGGCCACTTTGGCAGGCTTCAGTGGCATTGGCAGAACATTCAGTTGGCATTGGCTAAGGTGCCCTTGATGGGAAGACACTGGGTATCATAGCCAGAGACACAGACATCAGTACCTTTGACACATTGGGCACCTGCAGCTCTGAAGCAGCCCTTGGCATTCATTAGTGGCAGATTTGGCACCTTCAGTGAGTATGAAGAGGACTGAGAGCACTTTTGGTAGGTCCTGGTGGCACTGTCTCAAGCTGTGGTGACAGAAGACATCACCACAATAGGCTAGAGCAAGAGAGGCAGAAAAGGGCAGATGTCTCATGGTCAGCGGTAGTCTAGTTAACAGTGCACATGTGACAGGAGACACTTTGAATGAATCATTAGAAGGAATTTCAGTAAGGCCTAGAATATGCAGAGAAGTGTTGCTCTATGATTGTTGCTGTTATCCTATTTTGAAGCCCTGGTTGGAGTTCCTGAAAACCCCTTTTATATTTATAGTTAAGGGATAATCTAAGAACTATTCCACTACCATTGGAGTGAGAACAGCAGTCACAACAAAAAATAGCTTGATCTTTAGGAAAATGTTTCCAGCCTCATAGTCTGTTGTATGTGCGTGTGTGTGCATGTGTGTGTGTGTGTGTGTATGTGTGTGTATGTGTGTTTGTCAGTCTAGAATTTCTAATTATCTCAGACAATGGAGTGACTAAGAATCTTCAGCTCTATTTATGGGAATCCCCAGTAGAGTCACTCTTACAATAGTTTTAGTAGTTATTATTTATTTAATTCAATAAGAATTTTTAGGCACTATAGTGCATCATATGTATAACATCATTCTAGATATTGTATATCTAGGACAATATATATATAACATCATCCTAGATATTATATAAATGCAAAAGGGAATAAAGTTCCTACCTTCCAGGAATATGTAATTTCCTTGGGTATACATTTGAAATACATGCAAATAAAGTTCTGTGTCACTTAACAACAGGGATACATCAGAATGTGTCCTTAGGTGATTTTGTCATTGTGCGAACATCAGACAGTGTACTTACGCAAACCTAGATGGTATCACCTGCTAACCATCTAAGCTATTGCTCCTAGTCTATAAACTTGTCCAGCATGTTACTGTACTGAAAACTGTAGGCAACTTAACATAAATTACTAGGTGATGGAAATTTTTCAGCTCTATTATAATCTTATGGGACCTCTTATATATGTGGTTCATCACTGACCCAAATGTTGTTATATGGCACATGACTGTATACAAAGATAAGTGCCAGTTTTTATAAGTTCTAGAAAAAAATGCTAGAGTGGATTGGAAACATTTGGGTGAATTTCTTTTATAGTTTCTCTTGGGGTTAATATATGGTGAAGTAAGTGATTGTATGTGTGCTTGTGTGTACATGTTTGTCAGAGAGAGGGATGCAGGTGGGAGGGGTGGGGGGCAGAGAGAGAGAGAGAGAGAGACAGAGAGAGAGAAAGGGAGGGTGAATATGGACATCCATTTCTCTTTATTGTCCCTAGTCCTAGTCCTAGTCCTAGCAGGCACAGGCAGCATCCTCTGTCTGAAGTGACTCCTTCAATGTCCTAGTTGGCTAAAAACACCTGTTCATTCTTTGAGATTCAGTTCAAGCACCATCCACCTGCCCAAAAAGCTTTCCCTGATCCCCATGCATTTAGCTCTTCTCTCCTCTTGTAGCATTTTCCACATAGTATTCTAGTTTTTGACATATCTATCTCTGTCTAAAATGCAGGCAGAACTCCTTGAGGCAGGGACCAAGTCTTCTCCATGTTTCCATTCCCATCTCTGGACTTAGCATAGAGCTGAAATGAATAGACAGTCTGATTGAATGGATGGACAATGAGCAATTTGCTAATGAATGTCTGTGCATGGCCGTGTGGGTGTTTGCAGACGTTATGCCTCTGGAGTTGCTCTAGCTTCCTTTCATCTACCTCTGAGCCTGCTGGGTCTCGGGACACAAGGTAATTGTTACTTTATGTCTACATCACGTGGCACTCAGAAAAGTGATCTGGCTGAAGTGCATGATAATGTAATTGAGTCCCAGAGGTGACAGGCAGGGAAATTGATCTCTCTATATTTACTGAAATAATCTCTTGTACATCTGTGGGGAAAATTTCACATTCAAAACTTTCTTATGATACATTTACCTCTTAGTATTTAGAAAATTGTAAATACAATCCTTTGCCACCAAGCAGTAGCTTCCAAGTAAAGAAGGGGTTGAGGGTTAAAACTAATATAATGCATTGAAGAAAAAGCTTTTAACCTGTCAGGACTCTGTGATTCATAAATTATAACCTTAGAAATCATTTAAAGTGTATCCATTTAGCACTTATACCTTCATGAATTCATGGAACAACAAGTAAAGCTAAAATGTATTTCCTCTTGAAGACATGAAAGAGGAATCTTGCAGTTTCTTGGGTACTCGTTTCCTTTGATAAGGGCAGTAGTTATCTATTAACTGAATGTCTATTTACTAAAATACAAAGCAATAGACTTGTGTGAAATAGTAAAAATGGCCAGTCATTTTTTCCCCAAGATGAGTAAATTGATGGGTGATTCCACAGAGTACAGAGACGGGGCACTCCAGTAATAGGAAGTAGAGGAAAGCAGTTAAGGGCATAGACTCTGGAGCCAGCCTGGCCAGTTTCAATCCTGACTCTGACACTTACTAGTGGTGTGACCTCAGGCAAGTTACTTAACTTCTTTGAGCTTTAATTTCTTCACCTGCAAAATAGGGATTTAATTTTGAGATTTAAATGTGTTAATTTAGAGTTAATCTGAAGTACTTAGAATAGTGCCTGGCACGTAGGCAATTTTCTATTTAAGTGATTGCTATTAACATAGGGGTTTGGCCCAGAATGTCTTTCTGGCATGCTGAGGAACATCTTGGGGAACGTGTATTCTTTAGATAGAGTTCACTATGGATCCACAGAAGACCAACCATCAGGCTAGAACCCAAAGCCAAAGGATAGGTGGAAGGACTACTGGTTTGAAGTAGAAAATCTCATTGATTACCGCCCCTCCTCATCCCCCACAAAAATAACCACAAAGAAATACCACGTAATGAAACAGTGCTTAGCTTAGGGAAGGAAGAATAGTAACTATGTCACTTGTTTAGCCTGCTTCATTAAGCTCACTATAGGTATTTGTTTGGGTTTGAAATATTTGACTCATTATAGCTTGAAGGACAAAGTGATGAATGAAATTTATAGCTGGATTGATGGCACTAGCTGTATTTCAGCTGTAATAACCAGAGGATGGTTATTACGAATGAGAAAAAATAGCATCTCTATCTGCCTGTTAGCTAAACATATGCTTTGGATCACTTTTTGCTTGGAGTGTCATGAGTTATCACAAACTTCCACAACAAAGAAGTTTTCTTTTTTAACTTTGATCTATGTATTATTTGTTTTTTTAGAGACAGGGTCTCATTCTGCTGTCCAGACTGGAGTGCAGTGGTGGGATCATAGCTCTCTGCTCTCTAACTGCTGAGCTTAAGCAAAGCTCCTGAGTAGCTAGGAGTATAGGTGTGTACCACCATGCCTGGCTAATTTTTTAATTTTTTTGGAGAGACAGGGTCTCACTATGTTGCCCAGCCTTGTCTTGAAGTCCTTCCCTCACGCGATCCTCCTGCCTTGGCCTCCCAAAGTGCTAGGATTACAGGCATAAGCCAACACGCCCAGCCACAACAGGTAAGTTTTAAAGGTACATAGGAATGGCTTTTTGATTCATCTGTCTCCTTCTCCAGGAACCTACTCCTGATTCCCTGAACAGAAGAGACCTTCCCTTTTACTTAACGTACAAAACTTGTTATTTTTACTCCTATTATAGCTTGTTTCATGTTCTGACTTGTACTATATTAAGATCATTTGCATATTGGTCTGACTTCCTTTGCTAGACTAAAATCTTCTTGAAGGCAGATACTGTGTAATTTCATCTTATTTTTCTCCTTGCACTGTGTCTTGGGACATAAGTAAATGCTCAATTCATTTGCAGACATAACTTGAACAGAAATATCTCACTTGAATGCCATTGATGGAAAATAAGAAATATAGCCAAATTCTATTCAACAATTAAGTTAGCACTTATTTCAATTGTATGGTAAAGGCAGGTGACAATGCCTTATTCAAAATGGCGAATATGCTGTTTTACAGTTTTCGTGTAAATGCACACAGTTCTGCTTTTCTGTGAAATCACAATGCCTTTAGCAACTAAATGGAACTACACTGTCAAGATCTGACTGCTCAGCTTCTCAGTTCACTTCCATTCCATTCTATGCTATGTATATTTATATTGAGTCCTTGCTTCTAAGAGATGCAGACAGGAAGATCTCTCTGTATTAGGCTTATTCATTTAATCTCTCTCTTTTTTTTTTTTTTGTTTTTTGAGATGGAGTCTCACTCTGTTGCCCAGGCTGGAGTGCAGTGGCGGGATCTTGGCTCACTGCAAGCTCCACCTCCCGGGTTCAAGTGATTCTCCCGCCTCAGGCACCCAAGTAGCTGAAACTAAGGTGCGCGCCACCATGCCAGGCTACTTTTGCTATTTTTAGTAGAGACGGGGTTTCAACATATTGGCCAGGGTGGTCTTGAACTCCTGACCTCGTGATCTGCCTGCCTCGGCCTCCCAAAGTGCTGGGATTACAGGTATGAGCCACCGTGCTCTGCCCATTTAATCTCTTAAATAGGGAGGCATGAGTTATGACTTTAAACACCTTCTCTTCTAGCTTCTGATGGACTAAACAATAATCTTTAAATACATTTCAAAATTATCAGTTTAGTAGATGACAATCAAATTGGAAAGTTTTGCCAGTTTCTTATCTAGAAAATGAATAACTGCACTGTGAGAAACCCACTAGCTCAGAGTAGAATGTTCACTATGCAATGCAGTCATGGGCATTTTTAGTCACGGACTCTCTTAGGTCAGTAATTGAGTTCTTTTCTGTTACTTCTTGGCTCCAGGCAAAAGCAACATCAAAAATGTATTGATTTTTGTTAATTTAGGGAGAATTTATTGAACAAATGCAAGTGGTCATAACTAATATTGAGTTCCTCTAAATGTCAGAAACTTCATATGCATTTTTGTATTTATATCTCACAATGACCTAATGTGATAAGTTCCACTATTATCTATTGTTTTATAGATAAGGACACTGGGATTAGAGAATTTAAGTAACTTGGCCAAGGTGACACAAGCAGTAGGTGGCTAAACTGGGATTAAATTAGATTTAACTAAAAGCTCAAGAGAGTTATTTTTTGAGCCCCTGCAAGATTGCAAGTTCCTTAAAGATGACTTAAGTGGATTATTTAGCTTACTCATCTCATTATCCCCTTAGTATCCTTAGGGTGCTTTGAAGTACAGCGTTTAGACAATACAGTGGGGTGGTTAAGAACCTCTGTTAAGCCGCCTCAGTATGAATTCTAGTTTATCCACCTAAAACAGCATTCACAGATTCCCATCATTTTCTGTCCATTTCTTGCTTAATAGTTCTCCATAGCATTTATCATTACCTGAAATTATATAGTTTTACTTCTTTTTTTCTGGGTCCCTCACTAGAATTTAAGCTGCACGAGGACAGTGACCTTGTAAGTCTTGCTTCCTAACACCAAATTCTCAATAGCTAGTACAGTGCCTGGCATGCAGTAAGTGGTTTAAAAATATCTATTGAATGAATAAATAAAAGGAGATACATTTTGCTTACCGTTTATGCCTGGAGTCGTAATTTTCAATACAATTAATGGGCCAAATGAACCCTACCTTTTTTCTTGGTTCAGCTTCAAACCTTCTTTTTAAAAGTGTATTTAATAGACACTAATATAGCACATATGCTTTGGAAAACTCCATTTTATGTGCTTTACAAATATTGACCCATTTAATTCTACAGAGAAGGTGAAATCATTACATCCATTCTAAAGGTGAGGAACCAGGCACAGAAAGATTTAGAAACTTGCCCATGGTCAGACAATTAGGCAAAGAATGGAGCCAAGATTCAAACTCGGATAGTCTGACCATGTTCCCAACCATTCCATTATGCTGCTTCCTAGATTAATCCCATAAAAATGTCATTTCCCTGGAGTTTAATGCTCTAAAGATGTGTCTTTGCTCTCTTAGAGAATGACCTTCCATCTTGCCTATTTTTCCTTCCTCTCTACCCAGATTAAGAAGGAAAATAAATTAAGATTATTTTACTTATTGAAACAGCACAGTATGCTATCAGTGAAGCTTCTCTCAGGCTACCTTCAAGGATAAATAAGTGAATGACCCCGGTGGCTGCTGGACAGCTCACATGGCCTATATCTGCTTTTCTTCTTTTTCATATTTGTCTTTTTCTTGTATTTCTAGAGCTCTTGGATTCCTGCTGCAACCCTTCCTTCTAGCCTTGAGAAGGGAGTTCAGTGGTCCATGGAGGCTGCAAAAACTGCCTTTTAAGCCTGAAATGTAAAAGGAAGGCCGATTTTATAAATGATTCCTGTTCTTGCTTTTAGTCAATTGGTTCTTTCATTTCCTGTCCCTTTTCAGTTTCTTTCACAAACACACAAGCAACTCACAGCCTTGGGTCTCTGATATAGCACCATATTCACTCAGGAGGCAATTGTCATGAGCACAGATATCTGGGATTTAGTTCCAGTTCAGTTACTAAGGAGCAATCTTCCTTGGGGCAAGTCATTTAATAGGACTGGGACTTAGTTTCCTCACCTGTGAAATGACTCCAGTGAGAGGAAGAGCTGGAGATTTAAAGGTCCCTTCCAGCTCTAAACTGTGATTATTCTTTGACGAATTATGTAAGGAAGGGAAAGTGCTCAGATATCTAAAGCCCTATTTCTCTCACTACAGATTGCAGGATAACTCCAAGGGAGCCACTGTTCTTTATTAAATGGGGGTGAACTTCTCAGAATTGAAGGATGACGGCTGCTGGGGATAGCAATAGATCAGAACCTATTTTCCTGCCTAATTCCTTCCCTATTTCTCTGTAAATATCAGAAGGAGATTAGGAGTAAAAGTGATATTTCAGCTCTGTGGTCTACATAATAAACGATTCCAAGATAAATTCTTAAAAAAAAAAAAAACACTAAAAAGTTCTGCCTCTTTAGCTTGGGAAGAATGTAGTAGCCATCTTGCTTTGTGAAACTGCACAAAAAACTTGGAGCAGAGCATGGGTAAGTATGTTTGAATTGCGTGCTCTCACGCCCAGCAGTTGTTTAAAAATCTATCCAGCCCATACAGTTATTGCGATTTTGCATTTTGTACATATGGGGCTTTGTCATTTCAAAGGGTGCAAAGAGCTTCATGAACAATGGCCATTCCTTCTCTCGATGTGACCCCGTAGAACAGACTAGTTATTGGTCATCACTTGTAAACAGGAAGCATGAATCTCACCCTAGGAAATGCAGGCCGCCAGTGCTGTCATGCTTACATGAAGGACATGCCTTATCCCTTTGTAAAACATTTAAAAATAAAGGCACTCAGTTTGGAAATATCTTTGAGCATCCTAACCTGACCCATTCAGAACTGACCTCTAATCAGCATTTTTGTTTGGCTCAGTCCAGTCTAATAAATATTAACTGGGCATTACTATGTTCATGATCTGTGTGCTCCATACCTAGGAAAGGAAGATGAACATGGCCAAGATCCTAATCTTGAGTAAGAGACAAATTAGTCAACAGGTGGTTTTTATGAGGTGTAATGGGAACACAGAAGGGTTAAATCATCTATCCCAGAGAGAAGATGTTGTAAAGATTTCTCCAAGGCTTAAGTATTAAGGAATGAATAGGAGTTACCCATGGGAAGAAGGATGAGAGTTAAGGTACAGAAGGAGATGATGTTTCTGGCACAGAATGACTAGATTCTCAGGAATTCTATCACATATTCCTAGGAAGAGAGATAATACTTCTTGGCCTAATTTGCAGTTTAATGAGGGCTATGAACCTGAATCCTGGTGAATCAAATGTGATTTAAAGTAAGTGATGCATTTCCTGTCCTGGCAATAGAACATCCCAAGTGATCTTCTATGTTCCTCTCTACCCTGCTGTCATGGCAGCCCACAAAGAACTCCAGGATGGAAGGGTCCATGATGGAAGAAGCCAGGGTCCCTGAATTACTGGTTGGAGGAGAGCTGCCTGACCCACACTGGACTTAGCATGTGTGAGAAATAAATTTAACAGTGTTAAACCACTGAGAATTTGGAGCTGTTTGTTACAGTGGCTAGGTTCATTACCCTGATCATACTGTGTGCCAGGCTAAGGAATAATAAAAGGGATCTGAATGACTTGCTGTCACTTCAACATTTATATAGCCCAAATAACTTAGGTTTTTGACCTTAACATTGATTACTCTTTCTTCCTTTCTCATCCAATGGCACCAATGATTTCTTTCTTAAAAAGGTGATCTTTTACAGTCTTTCAGCAAGTCAACTGCTCCTCCTGAGTATATTATCAGCATCTTGTGTCTTTTAATGACATTTGTCTATTGTATATAATTATATAACATTATATCTATTATTATATCTATTATTGTATAACATATATAATATACAACAAAAAATGTATTATCGTATATATAATATATGTTTTATATTATATATACTATACATTTGTATTATAAAATATATATCATATTGTATATAATAGGTTATAATAGGAATATAATATGTTAATGTTATACAATATAGCATGTATATATAATGAAATATCATTTCAAAGGTATCTCTATATAAAAATCAATTTTTCTCATTAGAATACACATTTTATGAGGGCAAGGGCTTCATCTATATTACTCATTACTGTAACCCTAGTGCTAAGGGAAATGACTAGTATATAGTAAGCACTCACAGTTATTTTCAGAATGAATGAATAAAGATAAATATAATAGAATAGAGGCTGGGTTTTTTAAAAGAAATGGACTTCAGCTGTGTTCAGATGTAGGCGTTCTGAAGGCAGAAAGAGCTCCAAACCCAGACGAGGGTTGACAGTTGCTCATATGAAGGTGATAGCAGAAGCTATGCAGGCAAATGAAGGCGCCTCAGGAGGGTAAGGGAAGGAAGAAGATGAGAGAATTAAGGCTGAATTTTAGGGAATATCAATGTATAAAATAGACTAAGTATAAGCAGCTAATGAAACAATATTAGAAAAAGTAAGGAAAGTAAAGAGAGTATTGCGGCACAGAAACAGAACTCTGTAAGAATCACAGTTTTGGGGTCAGATCTGTGAGTACAGCATATTCAATAAACACCTGTCTATTGATTGAAATAAGTGCTGAACACTGAATAGCATATAGTCCCATGAAGATGGTCAAAGGGGCTGACTCCTTTTCTAAAAGACATATAGCCAATGTCATCCCTGTTAATTATACACATTTCTCTGGGATGACATCAGGAGGCTTGGGTTACCCTGGGGCCTTTCACTAGTCTGATAAAGTAGGCTATATTTCTGATCTGAGTTCTTCCCTGTTTAGAAGATTCTCAGAAGTATGGAAAAGTTCTTAATCTAGCTGGATATTTATTGATAAGTTACGGGTCAGTAAACTATGCCTACAGTCTAAGCCTGGTCTATTGCCTGTTTTTTTAAATAAAGTTATTTGGAACACAGCCACACTCATTCATTTCTGAATCATCTATGGCTATTTTCACTCTGCAACAGGGTTGAGTAACCACAATATAGGACATATGGCCAGCAGAGTATAAAATATTTATGATATGGCTTTTCACAGAAAAAGTTTGCCAACCCCTGAGCACTGAGCATATCTGTTTTGCACCCCCGGCAAAAAAACAAAAAACAAAAATACAAAAAGCAAAACAAAAAAAACCCCACAAGACATTTTCAGAACTGAGTGGAGCTTGTAAGAACCCTGGGAATACCACAGCCTGTCTTACTAAGGACTGGACCTATAGGAAATAGAATATTCTGTGCCTTCGGTGAGACTGGGTCCCGTCATGTATTTACTTTAGGTTAGGACCTCCATGCTAACAGTGCACGTATGTGGGTGTGAGATTCTCTTTGACCGTGTATCTTTAACTGATGTCCACTGGGTGGTAGGCCAACACTGAGTGGCAGTGAGTTTAAGACATGCAATAAAAAGAATAAAAAGAAATGCAAGTGAAAAGAATGAGGGTAGATGGAGAGTGAGTGATGGGATGGGAGAATGAAAATAAGTCGCCCTGTCAAAAGGTACCATGAGAGCATCTATGCCTGTGGGCTATATTTTGTCATTGCCCTTCTGAAAAATACCAGAAGAAATAAGAACAAGTTTCTATCATTTTTCTAAGTGACAGGGAAATAAGACTGAACCTTCCTTTCTAGACTTTTAAAGAAATAACATTGGTTGTACACTTTTCCGCTAAAGCGTACACACATCTGCGTCAACCATCAAGCCTAGAATCAATAAACATCTGAATGTTAAGGACTTAGAGAGCACTAGCGTCTTTAAGAGAATGACTCTGTTCTCTTGAAGATGCTAGTTCTTTCAAGGTCCTTAAAATTATCTTCATAGAATGTCTCTGTTCTCTTAAAGACTCTAGTTCTTTCAAGGTCCTTAAAATTCAGATGTAACTTCTTTGAAAGAATGTCACATTCCTAATACTCCTTTCAAAGGCTGAAATAACCTGTGATCTCATCATATTAAGACATTTCTAGAGTGATTCTCTTCATCTATGACATAGGGGTAGCAGAGTGACACCTATAACCAAATCTGGCCCCCAATGCTTTGTTTTGTTAACAAAGTGTTTATGAAAGAAACCCACAGTTTTTTTGGGGGGTGAGGAGGGGCAGGACTTCTGCTCTCCAGTGTGCCACAGTTTCCACCACTCCATATTGTCTTTTCTTTAAAAGTGTTTGAGTTTTCAATCCCTACAATCTCTGCCCACACCATTTTGAGGGGGCCAACTGTTGCTTTGATCTATTTTCTTCGTTCAGGCCTAAAATTAAATGACCACTTGTAACTTTCTAGCTATGTTAGTTTATTAGAACCCGTTTTATTTGCTAACATTCTTCAAGTTTTGTCCAATAGAGTTTAGTAGACTCACTGACCTAATATATATGGTAAAATACTCTTTTCAGTAATGAGGCAACAATGAAGAATAAATACATTTTAAGAAACTGTGCTGTTTTATGGGATTACTGATTTGTGTATATCACTTAGATCAGTGATGTTCAGGTTATGAAGTGATTATGTACAATTTGCAAATATCTAGTGTCCCTAACTTCTGTATTATCTTATATCATGCTACATTATACCTAACTCTACAGACCAGAGACATGTGCCTCTTTTTTGAGTGGCAGTAGCAAAGGTGGCTCTTAAATCATCTGACTGTGAACAATACAGTCCCAGGAAGATGGCCCAAGGAAATAAAGGGTGTTTTTTTCCTTGTAGTTTTTGACGGATTATTCCATTTTAACTACAAATGTGGACAATGGAAACTAGGCTGTAAAGTAGATCATTATAAAATGTACCTGGCCAACTTCTAAGATGTACCCCACCCTGCCCGCCCTACCCCATGGTCCCCACCGTCTGGTATTCACGCCCTTGTGTAAACACCTCTATTATGTATGAACTGAATCTGGTGACTTGATTGTAATGAATAGAAAATGGCAAAAAGATGGGATGTCACTTGTGTGATTAGGTAGCAAAAGACTGTGACTTCCATCTTGCTAGCACTTTCTTGTCTTCTCACTTGCTTGTTCTGTTGAAGCTAGCTGCATGTTGTGAGATGCTCTATGTGGTGACAAGGAACTAAGGGAGGCCTCAGCCAACAGTGTGTGAGGCACTGAGGCCTCAGTCCGAAAATCCCTAAGAGCCTGAATCCTGCCTACAACCATGTGAGTGAGTTAGGAAGTAGATCCTCTTGACTTGAGTCTTGAGACAGCTGTAGCTGTCTGAAAGATCCAGAGACAGAGGACCCAATCAACATTGTACCTGGATTCCTGACCCACAGAAATTGGGAGATAATAAATGTTGTTATATGCCACTAAAATTTGGGGTAATTTGTTCTTTAACAATACAGAATATAAATCATCTATTGGAATAACAGCAAAAATTTTTTTAGCCAAAGCCTCAAACTGAGGATAGAGAAGGGGGTAATTTAATCCATTCATTCAGAGGTTCTCAGTGCCATTCAGTGAAAAAAATAAATATATGTAGCTCCAATAAATATTGGTTAAACTGAGCAGAACTCAGAAGTAAAGGGCCACTAAAATTCAGGTGTTCATTATGTAGTAAAGTAACAGTAGCAATGAACAAAAGTGAATACCAGACGTCGCACTAAGATCAAGAGTCCTGTGATAACAATATTTACTAGTCATCAAATATTTTTGGGTTTGAGTTTTGAGGAACTCCAGGATTTAACCGAGGAGAATGAGTAGGCAGAGAGACAACAGCAGAGATGCAGAGAGTAACTACGTATTGTGGAAGCCGAAAGAAGACAATGTTAATAGTGAAAATTTGCCCCATGGGGTTAACAAGAATCCTTGAGCTTGCCTTGCAAGAAGACAGACGAAGAAACAGCTTGTTATAATTCTCTCTGCTTGCAACAAAACTGGCTGACTGGCTGAAACTGGCTGGAACCAATAAGGCTGACTGGAGTCAGAATGGCACAGAATAGACTCGCTCTCCTGGGGGGTGACGTTTTGATGTCACAGCCTGAATTTCCACGTCATGTTTCAGACCAGTTCCCCATGAATTTGCACAGGCAACCCACGGAAAAGCACGAAGGGACAACTGCGCATGCTCAACGGACTTTCCAAACTTCCCATTCCTTTCTGCCAATCACTAACCAACCGGGAAGCCCCGCCCCCAGAATCTCTCCCTTAAATATACCGCTTTAAGGCTGGTACAGGGCGACGGATTTGAACTGGATTCCTGCCTCCTTGCTTGGCCGCCTTGCAATAAACCTTTCTCTCTACAAAATCCAGCGCTTCAGTGTTTGGCCGCAATTGTGTGCAGGCAAATGAACCCAGTTTGGTTGATAACAATAATTGTCAATAGTATCAGAGTCTGCTGAAGTCAAAGTAGGGTGGAGATAACAAAGGGCTTATGGAATTTCTGATCTTCTGCTTACTGGTGACCTTAGCACTGGTTGTAGGAGGTCGCAGCAGAGAAACAACTCAAGCCCTTGAGGGATTAGTGGAGCAAAGGAAATGGGGAGACGTTGAGTATAGACAACTACTAAGTAATTCCAAAAGGTATTATAAAACTGGAAAGCATTAGAAGAAGAAATATTGAAAAACAGCGTGAGCATACAATATAAAAGTTGCTTATGTGCTGAAATATACTGTCAACTCAGGTTGAGGGATATGAAGAGAGCAGATGCGATATGAGCCTTGACACAAAGTCCTGCAAACCTTTAAAATGAAAATCCTTTGAATGCCTGACCTTCAGGTGTTATATTATCAAAGGACAGAAGCGTTTATGCCCTTTTAAAAAGGAAAATGTATTAGAGGATTATCCAAAGACTTGGCCACATACAATTCTTTTCTGGAAAAAACTAAGTTTTATGTTGAAAATAAGTAATCAGGTAATATCCCTGTGTCCAAAGAGACAGAAAAAGCACAATAAACTTAACATTTCTAGGACAGTAGAAAAAAAGCCATTTTCTTGTGGAACTTTGGGTTTGTTTCCTTTCATAAAAAGGGAAAAAGGTGAAATTTGATCTTCAAGAAGTCCAGGAAAGCTTTTAGAGCTGAGAAAAGACAGAGTTGGGGTTGGTGAGGGAAGTAGACTCTGGGTGAAAACGGATAATTAAGCTTTACAAAAGGTCAAGCATTGCAAAAGACAGCGAGAAAGATGCATTCTATGTGTTGAATGTATCAAATGTAGTTGAGAAGATGTAAATCTTCGCATTGGTGAATATTTCAGTATTAAAAAAGACATATTAAAGAATAGCTATTCTTACAAAAGGAATAAACTTTTTTCTTTGAAGCTTGACACAACATATACAAATAAAAGCATGAAAAATATGCTTTGAAGTGTGCTAACACATCAAGATTGTACTGAGCAAAGCACCTTTTCTCTGTTTAGGAACAATCTCACTAATTCCACAACACAATATGTTAATTAAAGGATCCCAGGTAGCAATCATGGAATATTTCTTCTCATGACAGATGAAGAATACAAATATTCTGAAGACTGAAATTGTATAAACAAAATGAAGAGACATTTTGTCCGTTTTCTGGCAGTGCAAAGTTAAAGTGAATGCAGATGAATGTGCTGGCAATAAAATGACACTATTAACCATCTGAAGATCGGGCTCATTACCTAAGAAGGCAAAGCATCAATTTGTGGCATTACAACATTCTATTTGTGCTGCTCAATGTGCGTCTGGATGTTTTTATATACTCTCTACTAATTTGTGTGCAGAGTGAGCTCTTCTGCATCAGCCTCTCTATAGAAGCTTAATTTTGTATTGTTTCTCTTATATTATTTTCTCTAATGAGAATGATATTCTGTATTAGAAATAAACACTTCATTTATTCTTCAAATAATTCTACGTTCAGTTTCTCTTGTTTTGCATTATCAAGTGGTGTGTACAGGATTACAGATATATCTTAAAATTGAGGTGCTCTGATTAAAAATATACATTTGAATGACATGTGAGGAAAATATTCATTCACTCAGTCACTCACTCATTCATTCTTAAAAGAATGTCTATGTATTGGGTTAAGCATCATGGGAAATTCAAGGATGTTGCACTGTCTCTGCCCTCAGGATGTTTATAGCATAGAAGTGGCTGAATGTTATTAGTACCTTGAGATAGGAACAAGGACAGGGCCATAAAATCTCAGAGGAAAGGGAAGGTCAGTGTATTTTCTCATACCACAAGTATTACTTGGGTACCTACTATGTGACAGGTGCTATTCTAGAGGCTGGATATATAGAAAAGAGAATAAGACAGTCAAGGTCCCTGACCTTATGGACCTTGCTTCCTGAGGGTGAGATGGAAAATAATGAAGAAAAAAAGCAAATAAATAATATAACTTCAGATCACACTAAGTGGCATGAAGAAAAATAAAGCAGAGCAATAGCAAGAACAGTGATGGTAAGGGAAGGATGTGAATTTTAGCTCATGAAGGCCCCTGTGAAGATGTCACATTCGAATAGAGATTTGACAATGTATAGGAGCAAGTGTATGAAGTTCTGAAGGAAGGGCTTTCTAGGTAGTGGGACCTTTGTAGGACAGGATAAAGACTTTATTCTAAGTGGGAAGGAAATTCACTGGAGAATTGAAGCAGGGTATAGCATGACCTGATTTATATTTTAGAAGGATCATTCCAGATACTGTATAGAAATTCAATTATAGAGGGGTAAGAAGGTAACCTGGACAGAGGTTAAGCATCTGTGAATAGTCCAGGATAGAGGAGAACAATGAGAACTTGATTCATGTAGTCTAACCAAGGATGACAGACTGGAATGCACTGTGGTAGTCCATCTAGATAGAGGTGGTTGGTGAGGACTAGGTTGATAATTACTTAGATGGTAAGGAGCGGTTCCATTTTGAAGGAAGTTGCACAAAGGAAGTGATATGATATGATAATATCTGAGTTGAACTTTAAATGAATGGCAGCATGTGACAAAGCAAGTAGTCATTCATGGATTTGTTGAGTGCTTATCTATTTTTATGAACCAGGCACTGTGCTAGGTGCTATAGATACAGCAGTATGGAAGCCATTGCTGAAAGTGAGAACAACAAAACTTGCTGAGAAGGTAATATTTTAAGTAAACATACACAAGCAGAGAGGTGAACAATATGCTCATAGGAATTACTTCCTGAATTGGTTCTAAGGATGTTTTATTCTTTTCCATTTAGTGTAGAAAATTATGTGATTAAACTCCTTTGTATATTTGGCTCAGTGAATTTGCAAAAGGAGTAAGTGTCTATCAGTAGAAATTCAATTCACTGTCAGTTGGGAAATTTCATCAGACAATTTCCTTAGAAATAGTGGCTAATATTTACTTTTCCCACTTAGGGAGGGAGAAAGTATAGCCTCTCTAGAAAGAATAGGAGGATAGGAGAGTACAAAACCTAGGACAATCTCAAATATCCAGGTGTATCTATTACAGTTCATCTGCCACCTGCCTCCAATCTGCCCCACAGTCTTTTTGCAAACAGATGACCCAACTTCAACTTTCCCTCCTTCTAATCCCACTTGTACACTGCCTCTAGAATTAACTGGCCTAAAGTAGTCCAGTCATGTCCATTCCCCAGTGCCTACAGAATAAATTTCAAATTCCTCAGCCTGACACACACTGACCCAACCTACTTTTTCTGCTTTATCTCTGACTACACACTTCTCAATTGTTTTAATCACCTTGAATTTTCTTCCTCTTTTTAAAATTATTTTTTGAATTGCATGAATATGTTATGAAATACACATAACATAAAACTTACCATCATCGCCATTTTTAGGTGTATATTTCAGTGGCATGAAGTACATTTGCATTGTTGTACAAATCCCATTGGATTTTAAATGTCTATTTCCCTCATACTTCCAGCAATTTGTTGCCTGAACCAAATTTGTTTTTATATGGTTCCTGGGGCCTCCTGAAATGCCTTTTCCCATCCAAGTACTAACCAGACCCGAACTTGCTTAGCTTCCGAGATCAGACGAGATCGGGCACGTTCAGGTTGGTATGGCCATAGATCTGAAATGCATTTTCCTTTCCTTATCAATTAAAATCCCACATATCTGAAAGATTCATGCTCAGATTTTGCCTCTTCCTTTAGGCTACTTTGACACCTTATCTGGAAACAGGAGGTCAACTCTGTTGCTAGGTAACACACTGCTTACAGTAAAAATGATGCCTGGTTGGTAAATTGCATCTGGACTAGGAGGGCCTATACATGAACTATAAATACATGATGGGGATGTGATACTTTGGACTTCCCTGAGTAATGACTCGTGTAATTAGGTCCCTTGTAGGGACCATGGAGGATAAGTCTATGGAGTTGTTGCAGGAGATATCGTCTCTTATGGGGCAGGAGGCTTTTAAGCCAGGGCCATTCCTGCACCCACCCAATATGAATCTAGTCTTCTTGAACCTGAGCTGCCACCTGGGGGGCCAGAACTGATATTTGTACTGATATTAGGACTCTCACTGAAGAGAAAATCTGAAGCTTCCCTGGTGGCCAGCAGTGTTTTCTGTATCACATTTTTCTAGGTAAATCTCAAGCTAAGGGTTCATGCCTGTAATCCCAGAAGTCTGGAAGGCCGAGGTGGGTGGATCACCTGAAGTCAGGAGTTCAAGACCAGCCTGGCCAACATGGCAAAATCCCATCTCTACTAAAAATACATACACACACAAAAATTAGCCAGGCATGGTGGTGTGTACCCATAACCCCAGCTACTCAGGAAGATGAAGCAGGAGAATTGCTTGAACCCAGGAGGTGGAAGTTGCAGTGAGCCTAGATCATACCATTGCACTCCAGACTGGGTGACAGAGAGAGACCTTGTCTCAAAACAAAAAAACAATAAAACCTCAAGCCAAGTGTGGCCCATAGTAGTCTCATAAGTCTGAATGTGCAGTTGGACCTAAGAAGATCTGCTCTTGAGGTTGCATCAATATGTAGAACTACTGTACTAAATACAAATACTCCTTGCATGCCTGGACTCAAAATCACTGGGAACCGTACACAGGACTAGGGCAATAAAAGTATTGCTCACCTTTGGAAGGAGCTGGATTGCCTGTAGAATTCTTTGTCTGTGCCCAGAATTAAGGATTCCAATTTCCAACAAATCCTGATCTTCCATAACATTGCTTCCCTGAAACAAAACAGAAATGTTACAAGTTAAATCAAGCATTTATACTGTGGATAAATAACAAGGATTTATTTAATACAGAGAAAACCAGTGAGTGACCTGATTTTTATGAACAAAGACATAGAGTCATTCTTCCGTGAGGGTGAGGGCAGAGTCGGTCACCTTGTTACTGATGTGAAGTCTAGGAGAAAGCTCCCCTCCCCTCACAAATATCTATCGTGGCTTATATCCACATGGGGTTATCTGCACTGGAGATTCATTCGTGTGACTTAAAACTTTGTTTCTGCACATTGTGCACATGTACCCTAAAACTTAAAGTATAATAATAATAAAATAAAAATAAATAAATAAAAAAAGATCCAAAAAAAAAAACTTTGTTTCTGTAAAAATGTGAATGCTTCTAGTAAGAGTTGCCATTTAAGATTATCAGTGACTTACACATTGATATGAATGAATCATTTTTCCCCCCTTGATGACAGATTTTGTGCGGAAGGCTGATAGAAAAATTGACATATATTAGGCAGGTTAAAAGTGAGAGTTAATACTTAATTTCAAAATATTGAGTCACAATAGCAAACACATAGAATCAACCTAAATGCCCATCAGTGATAGCCTAGATAAAGAAAATGTGGTACATATACACCATGGAATACTGTGCAGCCATAGAAAAGAATGAGATCATGTCATTTGCAGGGACATGGATGGAGCTGGAGGTCATTATCCTTAGCAAACTAATGCAGGAACAGAAAACCAAACACCACATGTTCTCGCTTATAAGTAGGAGCTAAATGATGAGAACACACGGACGTAGAGGGGAATAATACACGCTGGCGCCTGTTGGAGGGTGGAGGATGGAGGAGGGAGAGGATCAGGAAAAATAACTCATCAGTACTAGGCTTAACACCTGGGTGATGAAATAATCTGTACAACAAAGCCCCATGACACAAGTTTACCTACGTAACAAACTGCATGTGTACTCTTGAACATAAAATAAAAGTTAAAAAAATTATTGAATGCCAGACACCAGATCACGATATGAAGATTGAATGATGAATATGATGCAGGGCCCTACCCACAACTGCCTTTATTCCTTCCAGTCCCGTGATGGAAAGGGACTGTTCAAAGGCAGTTAGGTAGGATGCTGAGACTGTGCTATGATGGTGACACTTGCTTAGGAGTCCAGAGGGAATCCAGGGTATTTTTTCAGAGAAAAGGACATCTAATCAGATATAGGAAAAATGGGTGGTTAAGGCATAGCACCTAAAAGAGGAAGGACAATGGGGAAATTATGTGCAAAGACCTGTGAGTAAGAAGGAATGTAGTATACTTGGAAGCATCATGTTCTGGGATAATATGGAGAGAGGAGCAAACGGTAAGGCTGAATGAGTAAGCAGAGGGCAGACCATACAGATATTGCATGCCATGCTGAGGGCTTCAGACTTTATCCTGACCATAATGGGTAGCCATGGACAGCTTTTAAGAAAGAGAGTTACATGCTGAGATTCCAAATTTAGAAACATTATTTTGATTTCTGGGGCTGGGCCTCAGTTTCCCTACCTATAAAATGATAAAGTTGAGCCCACAATGTCCAAGGACCAGTTCAGTCCTAAAATTCTGATTTCAATGGTTATTTTAAACCTGTGATTAATATTTGAATGCAGAAGTTTACATATTGCTCATTTTATCCCTAGATTTTAATCTTTCACGGTTTGTAAGACAGAGTTTCTCTTTAAATTGAGGCGTCTATAGAGGTTCAAGAATTCAGATCACTATTTTTTTTGACAAATCAAACTCTGTCCTACTTATGTGTAACACAAAAACGCAAGAATAGAAATGACAGAATATCCATTTATTTAGTGATGAGTACCATTAGACACTCAAAGCAAAGGAGAATGAATTTGAAAGGGTGATTCTGGGGCATGGAGACCACTGTGGTTGTTTTCTAGAGGCGCTGTGGGCATAGACTAACGTAGTAGTCACAGGAGCAAAAAGAAGCAGGTGGATTTGCAAACTATCAGGAAGTTTGACGTGGAGATTGAACATGTGGAATGATGCAGAAATGTGGAATACACAAAAATTCAAGGCTTGGGCAGTGAGTGGAACTTGATGCCTTTTCCTGCCATAATAAAGGAGGAAGAACAGCCCTGGTGGGGCGCAAAGTGAGACTAACATCTTTCCCTGGACAGGGACAGAATAGATGCATGTAAACAACTTAATAATATCAGACTATGCTATAAATGGATAACTGGCTGTGCTTAGAAGGATTAAAGCCACTGGAATGGCACAACAGCTAGGGATTTAAAACGGGCATTCACTGGACAAAAGCATTCCACCTACTCATAGTGTCATTCTTATGCTTAAGCAACACCAGCCATCTCGGAGGAAGCAGAATGATCCAGGTATTCAGCAGCATGATAATGAAAAGCCTAATGAAAAACAAATAAAGCCAGTCTTGGCAACATGCCACAGGAAATATTGCTCTCAAGAAATTACTCAGTGCACACAACAGAGCATGGCTGAGAATACAAATGACTTCATTTAGAGAAAGCGTTATTATTTCCAGAAATGGACTAGTATGGCATGAGCGAGATATGTGATACCATTCTGACTTTTACTCTTTGAGGAGTTACCTGGCCCTTAAGAAAAAATCTTTCGTCATCTTTGTGCTAGAACATTACCAGGTTTTCCAGGTCCTAACTTACCAACCCACAACTTCAGCCCATGTAGAATAGAGGACCTGGTTTTTTTGCAGAAACAGAAAGCATACGAATATCCCATAGTGTGCATAGCTACTATCTCTAGGTAATCCTGACAACTGGATTTCAGTGTTTGAATACTGAAATGTTTTGGTAAATTAAATCCTAAAGATCACTGTTCTTCCTCTACACCTCCAATATGCTATTTTCTGTATCTCAGTAAGAGAGGAGTCCTTTTGAAGAATTATAGGGAAGTTAGATATTTTTAAAGAAGGTGTTGAGTACATAAGAACATCTTTTTGAGCCAAATTTCCTAGCATATAGGATAATTGCCAAACATTTTTGAAAAATGAACCAAAATTATGGGAAGCACAAGAAAAATAGTGAAAATGTGTCAAAGGGGAAATGGCACTAATTGGGAAATGGAAAGGAAAGGATTTACTGTCCCCAGTGAGGCATGCTGTTAGAAATTTTCTATTTTATCTTTTTCTATAATACATAGGGATGCCAAAAATATCCTAGTACATCATTCAGCCAGCCTTTTGTCCAAACACTAGGGGACTTGGAGTCTGCAGAACTGGGTTTGGATCATGGCGGGGCAAACTTGGCTAAGTCATACATTCTTTGTAGGCTTCCTGGTCCTCACCCACCAAATGAAGCAGTTTAATGAATATGTATTCAGTTTCAAAATGCTATGATTTCAGCCATGTTTGATTTTTGGTTGGTATCATTATATATAAATATAGATTGTATATTTTGAAATTATGTTTCAGTGTTTCAGAATTTGTAACCTAAAATTAGCTTTAAGAAGTGATTAAAGAGAAATTCAAGAATATATATTTTTTTTTGACAAATCAATCTTGGTATGATGGACTTATAAAATTTCTTATTAAAGGAAATTATAAGGTAACTTATTTTTGTAGTAGTACGGATTCTTATAGCTTTTCAGGGAAAAACAAAATGTTTCAAACCTTATAACTATCTAACCATTTCTTTGGCACCTGGGTGACAGTTGTGCCATCAAAGACAATAAACATTCCCATTCTTCCTAGGGAGCTGGAATTAATTCTCACTTTATCACTTGCCTTTACTAAATGCTAGCAAATCTCAGTTTAACTTCTGTTTTTTTTTTTTTTTTTTTTTTTTGAGATGGAGTTTCACTGTTGTTGCCCAGGCTGGAGTGCAATGGCACGATCCTGGCTCACTGCAACCTCTGTCTCCTGTGTTCCAGTGATTCTCATGCCTCAGCCTCCCAAGTAGCTGGGATTACAGGTGCCCGTCACCATGCCTGGCTAACAGGGTTTCATCATGTTGGCCAGGGTGGTCTCGAACTCCTGACCTCAGGTGATCCATCTGCCTCGGCCTCCCAAAGTGCTGGGATTACAGGCGTGAGCAACCGCTCATTTTTCTCAATAAAAACTGAACACAACTCTAGCTTTCTTCCTCCTCCATCATTTTTTTTTTTCACATAACTTTTAGGTCAATGATTTGGGGGCAGAGCTCCGTCATGTCCATCTTCTGTTTAGTCATCTACTACACTGCACTCTCAATCTCCTTTCCTACCCAGTACACTCCAGTCCCATGTTTTCATCTCCCATTTTCCTCCTCAACCCACCAGAATAAGCTGTTCCCCCCCATCAACTCCATAGAACTTCTCTGTCAAATGTTAAGAATGACCCCTCAATTGCCAAATATAGTTGATTCTTTTAAATCTTGATTTCAAGAATTTACTTGCCATATGTAGGTGATGGCCACCATATTGGACAACAAAGATACAGAACATCGCCATCATTGTAGCAAGTTCCATTAGACAGTGCTACTCTACAGTTAGAGACATTGAAACTTTAGTCAAATCACAAAAATGGGGCAGTAGCAGGGAATCAAATCAGGGACTCAAAAATACTCATGAGTTTTTCTCAGGATGTAGTTATTCATGTGCCTCTTAGTCAAAGTTCATGAACATTAAGTTTAGGATCTTTAGCAAATTCTCTTTTAATTCTTCAGTCACCAAAAGAAATTAGAAGGTTGTTCTACTTTCAGCAACATTTCTTTATGGTGGGGCTATAAATCTATGCTATGAAAATGACAAGTCCAATCACTAAATTATTTTTGACTTTCTTAGCATCCACCAATCACACTGCATAAGGTGTTTAAATAACAATAATCAATAAATAAAGTTGTTTAGTTAATGACTTTCTAGAATGATCAAAGACCCAAATGCAGTATTTTTAGAATAGCTGTTCTTTGCCTGTCAAGAAATGTCTAATGCAGGGTGTCTTTATTGATCTCTTAAATCATGGAATGGAAAAAGTCACCTAATGTTTTATGCACTAATAGCTGAAAGTGGAAGTTTCTTTGACCACGGGGAGAATATCTTAGGTACTGAACTTCTTCAGCTGTGATAAACTGTTAGGATGCCCAAATAGAATGAAAAGCAGTGTTTTGTATTTAATTATTCATTAGAAGTAAAACAGCTATTTACCAAAAACATCTCAAAAATATCTGTACTGATGGCTCTGTCTCTCCAAACTCTGCATTTAAAATTTCTTGTAGTTTTTTAAACTTAATACGATATCTTATTCATTTAGCAAGCTTTCCTTCATATTATATATTGTAGAAAATGTTAGGAAAATATATTTAAGGACCACAGGGAACTGGCTTATTCTTAATATAAACTTGAGTTGGATAATGTTATTTATTCTCTTCCTTCATCCAGTCCAAGACTAAAAAAATCAAGATGATACTGTTGATTGGGGAAACTTGTTTTTGCTCTATAATTAGCTAAATTAGATTCTTCTCCACAATTTATGTGACCTTAAATATTTAAAATAGAATCACTGTATAATAGAATGACAGCAAGATCTTACAAACTTACACATAGAAAAACATGTACTTTAGTTTGCTTTTAATATTTAGCCTTTTATAACATAAATAGCATGGTAGCATGAAACTGTACATAATTTTCTTGGAATAACAATGCTACCTCTCTGCTTCTATAAAAGCTTTGAGTCAATTTGATATCAATTTACAAGTAAACCCAATGCATGTCTTCTCTGCATGATTATGATAATGGTTATTGTGCTAAATACCAGATTTATTATTCCTCTGTCAGTGTTGGAACAAAGCTTTATTTAGCTTATCATATAGAAACACGGGTGACTATAACTGATCAGATAATGGATGATGTGCTTCTTCCAACTTTAACTTCCTCTCTCACATTAATGAAATGGCAGTGGAAGAAAATTCTATAGTACACTAAAAAATCCCTCTACCCTAATCCTCCATTTAAACATATTCTGTCTACCGCAATAAAATTTCTTGCATACAACTTAAGTAAATTTTCATGTTTTTAGCTTATGAAGAAAGCTTTCTGGATTCTTCAGACTATGTGGACTATTGATTCAAAAAATATTACATCACTGACCAATAAGACATCATCTTATATGTGCAAGCTGTGTATTTTAATAAATTATATCTTAAGGTTAAGATATAGTTTAGCATTATATATTTAACAGCTACCATGATTACAATGAATTTTCTGTCACCGATTTTTTCCTCTTTATTTTTGAAACCCAATTCCCCTTTGAAACATCTGTTGTCAAGCTACAGAGAAAGAGAAGGAATTTAAGTAACCAGGTATTTATTTGTTAAAGTATCGAGCAGGATTTGGTGATATCATAAATTATAAATGTAATTCACTTGAGATGTGTTCATGTAGGTTTTAGAATTATGTGTATTTGTAAAAGAGTGCAAAATAATTTATACAGTAATTTGTACTGCCTTTGGTCAAAAATTTTATAGCTATGAGAGAAGGAGCCTATTCTTCATTTTTAAGGATGCTAACCCAGAGCTCCTTCAAGTAAGAAGAAAAGTTGATGTGAACAAAACTTTTTTGTATGCTCTTACTTCTCTCCAGATGCATATATCTGTATAAATATAAAGCTGATGAATACCTACTGTCTTCCTTCAACTTTCACACTGATAGCAGTTGGTGTTCATTAGTGTAAAGTAAATAGCACACTTACTGTGTCAGGCACTGTTCTAAATACCTTCCATATATTACTTTATTTAATTCTCACAATAACTCCTATGAGGTAGGTAGCTTGTTCCCATAGCTGATAGGAGACTTTCTCAAGACTTACCCTATACTACCTCTAGCAGGAATCATGCAGGAGATAAAAGGTTGAGTTAAAAAAACATGGTTAGATCCACACCATTTATATTTTTACTTCAGAGTCATCTGAAATTCACATTTGAAAGCGAGTGTTCCAATGCATTTATGTTTGATTTCACAGTACCGAAGCAACAATGAACCCTCTCTATGGAAGAGAACTTGGAGAGCTGTCTGGCCTAATCTTCCCTGCTTTGCTCCAGTCCTTTCTGTTCACTGAATCCTGGAATCAGGCTTGGCAGGGACCTGGGGGGTTTCTAGTTTCTAGTCTAAACGTTCCCTAACTACCCACAAAGCTTCAACTTCTCTTTTGAAGTGTGGTGTCTCACTGGGTTGACACCATCCCCAGAGAGGTAGGGAGGATATTAAATGCTTTAAATGGTCTTTCCCAGCAGCTGAGTCTGAGCAGGGGGTGCGGCTGGGGTTGGGGTGGCACCTCTGTCCTACTCTTTTAGCTCCCACTGTGGTACAGACCAAGTGTTGCAGGAGAGCTATCTGAAGAAGAACGTGCCAGAAGCGGAGATGAAAGGAAAACAGTTAGCAGCTGTCCTGTGTCCTTTTGTAATCACAAGCTGTGAAGCTGAAAAAAAAAAAAAAAAAAAACTTCCTTGGGTAGGCTGTACATAATCTTGGCAGATATCTGAGTGTTGTTCTTCTGTCTAATATGCTGAACGTTTCCCAGTGCCTCACAAGAGAAAAGTGAGACAGGGTTAGGTGAGTTTGGACACCTTGCTCCGAACAGGCAGGGAACATGGCGCCCTTGTACGTTCATCAAGCTCTTGCAAATGCCCTGTCACTGTAGATGCTGATGCAGAGCTCCAAAAGGAAGGGCTCCTCTGCAGGAGAAGCAAAAAGAATTTGCTCCTGGGTATTCCCAACACAGCCACATATAATGACGCAGAAAGAAGTACCTAAAAAGATTACCAGCCATTACATTCACTGTGTAGCAGGTACTTCACCCACCTTATTTATAAACCTTACAGCACTCTTGTAACATAGGTGGTATTATTTTCATCTTATAGAGGAGGAAACTGAGTCTCAGAGATGTGACACTATGGAGTCAAGTTCACAAGATAAGTATAGGATGGATCTGGGATCTGTGTTTTATTTGGTCAGACTCTGATGCTGATGCTTCCTTCACTACATAAAAAGAACCAAATGTTTAGTAGGGGACATTTTCTGGATGGAGATTCCGGTCCATAGATATGTAACGTTACCAAGAAGTTACTCCCATGACCCTATTTTCACACACACAAGCTTACATCTATATTTACAGACCATAGGGAGTGACTGCCAGAGTTTCTCCAACACATTGAATTTCACATAAATTATTTATCTTCTGAAAGGTCAACTGGTTAGTTCTCCTTCTAAACTACCTTAGTGTATTCCAGAACCAAACATGTTAATCAAAGTGACCCAAGGTGTTTGTGGCTAAAGCACTAACTAACTTGCCATGTTTCCTGCTGTGAGGCAGGAAGTATCAGCATGGCATTAGGTTGTTGTGAGAGATTCAGCTCTTCTGCAGTGCCTTGTCAAACGACCTGACTGGTCAACTGGGAAAATGAAGTTCTCAGGGCCAACATCGTATTTGGGTGTTTTTCTTTTAGGTCTGTATCAAAGCCAGATTTAAGAAGGAGGGTGTCTACAAATGAACGAAAGCAGAGGATGTCTGGGGACAAGCTAAGGACATTTGTGTCCCACACTGCATGTATTCTGAATCCAGAGAAAAGAGAGTGAGTTGCAGTCTCCTGAGAAGGCTATCCAGGCTAAGGAGCCTGTGATGGTGAAGGTGGATAATTTAGCCCTCTGAGAAGTGTAGACCTGTCAAAAAGGAGATTCGTTAATTCTTCAAAGATATGGTTGTCTTCAAAGAACAGACATCCCCAGATTTAAGGATGATGGGGTCTCTTGACACTGAGAACTACATTCAGAAATAGCCAAACAAGAGGAAAGGAGCAAAGAGGAAGAGAAAGGGAGGGAGGAAATGAGAGGAAGTGTTTATTCTTAAGGGTGAAGGTAGTGGTGAAGGGAGTAGAATTTCCTGATAAAATACAGAAATTCAAATTTAAGTGGCATCATGTATTTTTATTCACTTAATCTGGCTGCCTTAGACAGGAGGTCACTGAAATCTGGAAATGAGCTGGCAGAGTCCAGTCCAGAGCTACCACTGAGGCAGGCATTGTCATTCATTCATGTAGTCAGCATTTGTTTGTTCAATAAATATTTTTTGAGCATTTATTATGTGCCAGGCACTGGGCTGTGGTTGTGAGATACAATGAGATCAGGACAGACAAGGTCCCTCTACCTTTAGAATTTACAGTCTAGTGGAGAAAAAGGGAAACAGTGGAATAAAAAAATAGATAAATAATTATTTAGCAAAGTTTTACTATATACCAAGTATTTACTGTATTAGTAGGGACTATTAAGCACTTTGTCTTGTTTGTTGTTCATGATAAATTCTGATGTTAGTATATACAATTATTATCCTTATTTACAGATAATAGACTAAGAATTGAAGGCACAGAAAAGCTGATAATTAGTCTAAGGTCACACAGGTAGTAAAACTGACATAAAGGGAATCAATGGAGTTCTAAAATAAAAAATAAACAAATAAATAACAACGGAGATCTATGTTAGAAAGACTGGTGAGGAAAGTCTCTCTGAGAAAGTGACATGTAATTAAGACCTGAGGGGATTAGAAGGAGCAGCCTAACTGTGAGAAGAGCTGTTACAAGGACATTCCAGGCAGAAATAACAGCAGGTGCAAAGGCACTGAGGTGAGGAAAAAGGTGAGGCATGTTTTAGGAACAAACAGAAGCCTACTAAGAATAAAATTTAGTGACTGAGGGGGACGAAGACCTGGGAAAGAAACGCAGGAAATAAGACAATACAGAGACTTGCAGACTCTGATAAGGACTTTGATTGTATTCCAAGTGCAATGGGAAACATTGAAGGAAATATACTAATTTGCATCTTCAAATATACTCTGGATTCGGTGTGGAGAATGGATGGAGAAATTGGGAGGTATGGAAGTTGAGCTCGACAATCAAAATTGAAATAACAGCCTAGAAACATAAATAATCTAAAGGAAATGTGATGAAATATGACCTTTTGGGAGACTATGGGAATGGGTCTCACTGGGGGGGGGGTCAAGTCTCCAAGCCAAATGCATCTTTTATTTGAATCAAAGAGAAAAGCCATATGACAAGGATGAAATCAGAATAGTCTTTGATAAAGGTTCTATGTGGATACAACTATGAATAAAGATTTAGCAGTACCTACGAAAATGAAAATGTTCAGACTCCATGGACCCAGCAATTCTGTTTCTTGGTCGTGGCAGACATTGCTGGGAGGCTGAGTCCTTTCCCTCTCACTACCTCCCACTGCAGAGGCTGGATAAGCTAAAGTTCTCAGCTTCCCTTTAAAGCAATGGTTGAACATGTGACAGAAGTTGTCATTGGGGAACTTCTGGAAAAGCTTTTGCTTTCCTAATGAAAAGGGAAAAATTCACCTGCTACCCTTCTGTGCCCATAAGAAAGGACTCTCCTCAGGATGAGTGGCTAAACAGTTCAGAGAAGGTGACAGCGATGGGCCCACAGTCCTTGGACCTCCAATGATAGATATCTCCATTGGATACCTGGAGGCAGGCAAGGATAGGCCATGGAAGGGTTAGTTCTGCATAAAAAACGTTATTTAAAGCTCTCTCCATCTTTTGCATCTAAGTTGCTCTGACTAGTGTTTATCTGTCAGTGAAAATAATGATGGGGATGTGTACTGTGGCATGTAATTAATAGAGGTTATAATGGAGGCAACAGGATATTTACTATTTATTTTAGGCAGACAGGGGTATGATAACATAAAGAATAGCAGAGAAGGGATACTAGGAAGAATGAAAGTTATCAGATCCAAGTTGGGGTGTGTGTGTTTGTGTGTCAATTATAGCATTGCCTCTTCTCATTTTGACTTAACGTTGTGAATTTCTCATAAAAAGATGACTTGAAGGAATTTCTTTACTCTGGATTTTGGTTTCTATTAAAAACTAAAACGGATGCAAAATTGCCAAAGTGCTCATGGGACTAACAGGTTCTAAATCTGGGAGTGGGTTTCAGCTTATAATTGAAGATGACAGGTGTCCAGAGATTGTATGAAGTTATGGTTCTAAAGGAAGTACAGTTTTACATAAACCTGGTATTCTACAGGAAAAAATGTTACTCTTGAAATCCAAACACATTATAATCATAACAGGGCAGAAACAATAAGAACATTTAGGGGTATGTTAGGTTGACCTTAGTGTGTAGCTCTTCCAGGAACTCTTGAGAAGTCAGAGTTTTTATTTAGGTCCTTTGTAATCTGGAATGCCTTTGGTGGGCAGTGAATGGCGATTATTGAAAGAGTTGACTGATAGAATATTCCTGACTTTTCCCCACATTTATTTTTAGTTTTGGTTTTGGTCTTGAAGACATTTTTCTTAAGATGTCTTCAGGAAAAAAAAAAATTTTTCCACATTGAAAACTTTGTTTTGGCTTTTTCGAGTTTAAAATTCGGTGATGGGAAAACTTGCTCACATCACAACAATGGGATTAAGTGTGAGGAGATGATCGCTGTGGGCAGACAGGCAGGAGGCTAACCCCACGAAGGGCTAAACTAAAAGCTGAGTAAGAGCTCCACTAAGAAGAGCTCTTTGAACTGTTCTGGGACTGGCTAGGGCCACTAATTGTCCTTGGGTTGTATATGAAGGGAAAATTTGTATCAGGGACACAAATATCCTTGTCCTTTGTATAGCATCTATATCATGAAGGATATTCTCATTTTTTAACTCCATTTTCTTCACTGAATAATATTACTCAACCTGAAAGAAATACAGGGGAAAGAAACGGAGGGACATGCATTCTCACAGTGAATGTAATTAAATGTCCTCCTGTCTAGTTTTTCAAGTTAAAGGTTCTGAGTTTTGTTTCCAGAATATTCAACTGGTACTAAAAGCATCATGAAGTCCCTCATATTTAATTAAATGGTGCATTATTAAAAGGGGGCACACTCTATCTAGGTTAAAGAGGTGATAAACAGCTATAGAATTTCATGTTTCTTTCTACTTGGTATTATATGTCTTGTTTCCTTTACTGGACAGCAAACTTCTTGGGAGAAAGGATCATGCCTGAAGCATCTTTGCATCTCCCCTAACATCTGTTTGCTAAGTGTTGAATAAAATAAAAGCTTGAAAGAATGAATCTGTAAGTAAAAACATGAGTTTTTTAGATTTATTAAAAAACATTTAGTCTAAAGATCACTAAGTAAGTTTATAGGAAAAGCACTGAAATTTTGAGCTGGAAATTCTAATATGCAGGATGCCTGATGTGTTTTTCCCCCCTAATTGAAAGAAAGATAAAGATGGAATTGCTGGTACACCATAACACCAAAATGTTCTTAATTTTTTTTTCAGTTTTGCAAATTCTCATGATTTGATTTTCATCCAGGACTGTCAGTTGAGACATCTGATAATCTAAAAGCATTCAGAGAATTAGGATCCCATATGGCTCGAAAATATTTCCTATCCGGCAGGAAAAAGAGAACATACCATGAAAATAATACTGGTATATCCTTCAATTTATGTGTACAAGGAGCATAAATAAATTTAAATCATTATTCAAAGTATAATAATTATAATGATCATAAGGTTGATTATAACAACCAAAATAAAAAGAATATACAGTTCTTCATAATCATGTGACATTATAAAAAATCAGAAGTATACTTCAAATCAATGATAGTAATAGAGTTGTGTTTGTCTAACAGAAGCAACAGTCATTAGAAATGAGCACGGGATTAGGAGTCCTGGCTTATCACTAATTAACTGTATAAATCTGAAAAGGTAATTTAACTCCCTTAGGTCTTAATTTTCTCAACTGAGCCATGAAAGGGCTAGACCAGATGTTCCCTTTTAACACGGCATCTGTTCTGGAGGTTCTAACAAGGAGTACATCTACTCATACACTCCTATTGCCTGAAGAATAATTAATTCTTCTTGCTTTGGGGGAAATGTCATTTTCTTCAGATAAGTGTTCAGTATTGAGAGGTGCACTTACATAATGGTGAGGGAGCAAGGAGACCTGGGCTTAGTCATCTAATTTCACCAACAAAATTATTACTAACAATAACAATAACGGCTATTCATTGAGAGTTAACTGCAGGCCAGACACTGTGCTTTTATCCTCTGAACAATTCTATAAAATAGATATCGCTATTATCATCCCCATTTTACAGATGAGAAAATGGAAGCATAAAGATTACTAGGAACTTGGCTGAGATCACACAGTAAGTGGCAGAGCTGCTTTGGAAATGAAGATGGGTGTTGGAATCAAATTCCCCTCACCCCACTGGCTTCCCATAGCTTTGACAAGTGTCTTCTGCATGGAATTGCCTCAGAGATCTGATGGATGGAGTCTTTCTCTGCCAGCCCAGTCGTCTCCATGAACCTCCTTTCCTACAATTTCTACCCAGGGATTGAGGATTATTAATAAAAAGAAAAGGAATTGAGTGCTCCTGGGTTCACCTTACAGCTCTGCACTTTAATAGCAGTGTGACTCAGGATCAGCAATCCTCTTTCTTTGTCCGTACAATGGGGATAACACTAATGCTTATCTTTTAAGGATATGGTGACATAATGTTTATGAAGTTGCTTTATAAACTCTAAAGTAAAATTGCTAAAAATAAAGCATGCCTGCTAGGAACTACTTTTTTTTTTTTTTTTTTTTTTTTTTTTTTTTTTTTTTTTTAGAACATAGCACTGTAAATCTTCTAGTTTCATGTTGTTTTTGCTGGAAATAGTCTATTCTGAAAGAGGCAGCATGTGTGATGGCAGAAAAATTCAGGGTTCCCCCCCCCACCCCCAGCTCTGCCATTTACTTAGCTTTGTGGCCTTGGGAAAGTCACTTGATCTGGCATCCCACAGGGTCCCATACTCTACAGGCCCTGCATTTGGGGTTTAATTTCTGTGGTTGCTGTTTTGAAGTTCTTCCTAATTTTTTTCTTTGAGTTTGTGTGTTATAAGTGAAGTCTGAAGGGACAACGGAGCATGCGCTGGGCTTGGCACCTTAGATCATGGGAGGTCTTGCTTCCTGCTGCATCTCCAGGATGGGTTCTGCCAGAGACCCTCTTCATTGGTCTCTCTATCTTTAGTCCTGCCCAACCTCCCTTTCTCTGTTGAGTCCTAAAATTGCTGCCATCCTTCACTCCTAGCAGGAGTCTGGGTGCCGGCAGAGGGAGGGCTTGGGTGGGTCACTCAAACCCATGGCACCTTGGGGCCGAGCATGGCATCGCCCATCCCTGCCCTAACAGGTAGCAGCATTCCAAATCAAATGGGTGACCAGCCAGAAGCTATCCCAATCCAGATATCAAGCATGTCCTGATGAAGAGATTTAAAAATCCTTTGCGGGGTGGGGGTCCCCTGTCTGCTATGGATGGAGGTAATGTGGCACTGGATAAAAGAGATGCCTGGTTAGATTTTCTGGGACCCTGCTCTATCCAGGACACTGTGGTAGTCAGGAGAGTGTTGGGGGCCTGGCAGTGGGGCACCTGTGCCCTGCATAGGAGGCACGGTCCAGGGTGCTTGCATGGGGCTGCACTCTCACTACAAGTGTCTTGTGCCTTGGAATGCTCCTTTGGCTAGCTCCATGCCTGGAGCATTCTCCCTCCTTCTAACCGTCCTGGGTTTGGCCTGTATTTGTCTTTTTTGACCAGATCAAGGCATCCTTTGGATAAAAACACAAAATATAAACTGGGGAATTTGGTATTCCTTCATAGGAGTTAAATGCTTTAATATTTTCATCTAAAAGTAACATTGCACAATATAAAAATGAATGACAAAATTCATGCTAATAACATAAAATTTTAATGTTTCTTTACACAGAACATTAAATAGTAAACAAAAAACACCATGACAAGTCTAAAGAGAGACCACAAAAGGAAGGAAAAAGGTTTGTACGTATTTTTAATGGCACTCTTTCCCCTGCCTTTTGAATAGGGGGCCCCACATTTTCATTTTGGACTGAGCTCCACAGATTATGTAGCTGGCTGCGCTCCCAGGATGTAAGGTTTGCATAATCACCTGGTCCTTGCTTCACTTCACAGGTATATTTGCAGCAGCTCTGCTTGTAGTTGGTAAGCTCAGTTAAGCAACATAGTTGGACTGACTTAAGAATAGCTTACCATCCAATGATCTGTGGCTTTATCTTTACCTTTCCAAGTGGGTAGAAAAGGAGTAATGGGAGCCATTCCCTTGGAAACTACTGAGGTCATTTAACCCTAACAAGGATGATGCTTCACTAGATGTTAATTAGAGATCATTTCCATTTTTAGTTTTAGTTCTAGAGGTTGCCTTAAAAATTATGAGGGCAACAGGAAACACTGAACTTGCCTAGACTTCTGGGGCTTCTTTATTCATTGACTTATTCATTCACCCATTCAATCATTCCCTCCTTCACTCACACTATCATTTCACAACATTTACTGAAGTGCTATCATGCTGCCCACACTTTAAGTATGGAGAATTCAAAAGTGATTGAGGCAGTCTCTCTCCTAAAGAAGCTCAAAGTCACTGGGGGAGGGGTAAGGTGGAGGTGGGATCAGAAGGCATATAAAGAGATTATTTTTATTATTGTTTTGAGACAGAGTCTTGCTATGTCACCCAGGCTGGAGTGCAGTGGCATGATCTTGGCTCATTGCAACCTCCACCCTCCAGGTTCCAGTGATTCTCCTGCTTCAGCCTCCTGAATAGCTGGGATTACAGGCACATGCCATCACGCCCAGCTAAGTTTTGTATTTTTAGTAAAGATTGGGTTTTGCCATGTTGGCCACGCTGGTCTCAAACTCCTGACCTCAAATGATCCACCCGCCTCAGACTCCTAAAGTGCTGGGATTACAGGCGTCAGCCACTGTGCCTGGTCAAAGAGACTATTTTTTTGATGCAGCACATACAATGATTATGGCTGTACAGAGAAAAGATTCCTGAAGTACACAGCTTTGGATCAGGAAAGACATTTTGGGAAGCGGAACATCTCTGCTACCTGCTAAATGATGAGGAAAAGTTAACCAGAATACAGGCAATGCTTGAAGCAAGAGAGAGAAGGCACTGCGTGGATCGGTTGCAGCATGAACAAGGGCAATGAGAAAAGAAACGGTATAGTGAGAGTGAAAACCAGAAAGCAGTTTACAGTTAACCAGGTGGAAGAAACAGGGAGGGAGAGACCAGGTAGCCAGCCTTGTAAGCGATGATGTGAAGTGGGCTTCATCCTGTGGTTCTGGGCAGTTGGCAAGTTGTTTTATGCCTGGAAGGGAGATGGCTGGATTTACAATGTAGAGAGCAAACTCCAGTGGCTATCTGAAGTGTGGATTTGAAGGGCTAAAACTGGAGGTTGGAAGCCCATTTAAAGAGCTCTTGCAGCCATAATACAAGAGACAATGAAGATCTGGACTAGGACAGCAGCAGCAGGAATGGTGATGTATTAAAGAAATACTATAGAGCCAAAACTGACTGAACTTGATTATTGATTAAATATAGGTATTGGTAGAAGACAAGTGTTAAGAATAACTGTCAGCGCTCTTGTTTGGGTAACTGATGGTTAAGGAGTCAGGTGAGAAATAGACTTTCAGAGGAGGTAGAGGGTTTGGAGGTACAGTGTTTTGTTCTTGTTTTTGAGACAGAGTCTCACTCTATTACCCAGGCTGGAGTGCAATGGCATGATCTCGGCTCACTGCAACCTCCACCTCCCGGGTTCAAGCAATTATTGTGCCTCAGCCTACTGAATAGCTGGGATTATGGATGTGAGCCACCATGCCCAGCTAATTTTTGTATTTTTAGTAAAGACAGGGTTTCACCATGTTGTCCAGGCTGGTCTTGAACTCCTGATCTCAGGTGATCCACCCACCTCAGCCTCCCAAGGTGCTGGGATTACAGGTATGAGCCCCTGCGCTCAGCCTTGAGGGGCTGTGTTCTGTTTGGGACATGCTTAGGGGCCTGTGGAACTGGAAGGAGGGGATGTTAGCAGACAGTGAGAGGAGGCTGAAGTTTGGGGAGAGGTTCAGGCTAATGTTGTAGATTTGGGGATGATCAGGGCTGAGGTGGTAGCTGTATGAAATGGATAAATGCAGCACTGAGAAGAAAGGGGAAATGCCATGAGAGAAAGAAGGAAAAGATGAAGTTAATGAGGAAAAGAGGGAGAGTGTGTCGTGTCAGATGCCAAGAGGGTAACGAGTTTCATGAATAAGGATATGAACCAACTGTTAAATATGGCAGAGAAGTCTTAATGGAAGTGGAAAAGGCCCTTTGGTTTGGTAAAATACAGCAGCTCATGAGGACCCCAGGAGGAGTTTTCCATTATGGGTACAAAAGCCAGATTAGAGGATTGTGAGACAAAAGGGGTGGAGACAATGAATGTAGACGATTGTTTTGAGAAATCTGAATGAGTAAGGGAGGAGAAAATGTGCAGCACAGCTGGAGAAGGAACAGGATCACAGGAAGTTGCTTTATTTTCTTCTTCTTCTTCTTCTTCTTTTTTTCACTCGTAAGAATAGGAGGTGACTGGGTGCACTGGGTCATGCCCGTAATCCCAGCTTTTTGGGAGGCTAAGATAGGCAGATTGCTTGAGCCCATGAGTTCGAGAACAGCCTAGGCAACATAGGAAAACCCCATCTCTACAAAAAATAAAAAAGTTAGCTGGGCATGGTGGCATGCACCTGTAGTCCCGGCTACTCCGGGGGCTGATGTGGGAACATCATTTGATCCTGGGAGGCAGAGGTTGCAGTAAACTGTGATCATACCACTGCACTCCAGGTTGGGTGACAGAGTAAGATCCTGTCTCAAAAAATAAAAAACTAAAAAGAATAGGAGACTCTTAGCTGGGCATGGTGGTTCACACTGTAGTGGTGGCCACCTGGGAGGCTGAGATGGGAGGGAAAATTTTTTGAGGTCAGGAGGTTGAAGCTGCAGTGAGCTATGATCACATCACTGCACCCCAACCTAGGCGACCGATAGATATGTGTTTTGAAAACATAACGCTCAGAGCAGGTTGAAACCCTGTCTCTTAAAACAATAATTGAAAAAAAAAAGGAGACACTTAAGCAAGTTTGCAGGCAGCAGGTAAAGCACTAGTGGAGAGGGAAGTTGGATCCACAGGAGAGGGAAAGGAAAACTGCTGGAGGTAGGAGGGGTAGGCCTGGGGTGAGATAAAGGGCCTGGAAGAGGGAAGCAAGGATGGGTGAGGTGTAGAATCCTTACTCCTGAAGCCCTTCACTGCTGATACTTCTGCTATCCTTGGCATGTGACAATTCCTCAAGCTGAGGTCAATGCCACTGTGTCAATTGCATAGCAATTCTCTTTCTTGGGGATTCCTATAAAAACTCCCTCATAACAATTCCCCAAGTCTCTAGTCTTACCTTGACGCCCCTCAGTCTTACACAATTCCTTGCTATTTTGACTAGTTTGAGGTTACCCATCATGAACTCCTTCGACATCTCTCCTATCTTGATTTATATACTCTTCTTGGTCTCATTTTTTCCTGCAATATTAAAAATTCTACTGATCTTTCAAGGTCCAACTCAATTGATATCCCTTATCTATGTCTCACTTTCATCTTACATATACATTTTTAAATTACTTGATGTCTTTTATGTTATCTTATAAGCTAATTTAAATACTTCTTAAAACAAGGAAGGGATTCAATCAACCTATCAATCGTCATGATACCCTTTCCTATCTCATCTTCTTTTCATCTTCTTCAACTTTTTGACTCATTTTTATATCATTCCTCTATGAAACTATTAAACCCCTTAAGGGCAAGTAAATGTTTTTTGCACCTGCTCTAGTATGACAATACATTATACATAATACCTACCTACTACAATTAATAAATTGTAAGCTCCTGGAGGACAAGAATTTAGGAGTTAGCTAGCTAGATAGAGATGAATACACATGCAGAGATATATTTACATTCTCTCAAGTATACCAATTTAATCTAATACTTACTATATACTTGCTAGCAATTAGAGATATATAAAGATAAATAAAACAAAACACAGTCTCTGTCTTCCAAGGGTGCCAATCCAGTGTGGCAATCAGAGAATGAGAGGGCTTGAATGACATGCTGATAAAATTGGACTGTATTCTGCTAGGTTTCTTGCAGAACTTAGGGCAGAGGATATTAATAGATATGTGTTTTGAAAAGATAATGCTCAGAGAAGGATGAAGGATGAATTTGAAAAGAATGAGATTGAGGGTAGGCAGATCTATGAGGGGGCTTTTGCAATAGTGTAGATGACAGATAATAAAGATCAAGTGAGGGCAAGTTGGTTACAGATGAGATATTGAGTGTATATGCGTGTATGTGTATGTTGGGGGAGTGAGGTTGTGGTGCACAAGAATAAGTGTCCAGAAGTTATTTGCTAATCTTACTTTTTAAAAGACATTAAATGGTAAATAGTAGTAATAACTATAGCTTATTACATATCGTGTAACACATTCCTCTAGACTGGCCTTAGGCAATATTGAGATCTGTTCCATTTCACCACTTAGGATCCTCTAGGCCCGATTTTGGCACTTTATTCTATATGATCGGCTATTTGTTCTTCTCTTATTACTTCAGGTCTCAAGTTTTGATCATCCTATGAGCCCATATATCCTTCAGAGCAAGACAATGTGAATAGGCATCGTTGCACTTGGTAGAGGGTTAGGCAAATAGTGGATGCCAAATAAATCCTTGTGGAATTGAATGGTATTACCTGGAGTTCCCTGAAGGTTGTACATCCTCTTACTCCTTGGCCTTTGGAACGTCCTTCTCTATACCTGGAATTCTTCCTCTCTCTCTTTACCTCCTCTGACTACTGTCTCTTTACCTCACTTTGACCTTCCTAGTTCTGTTTATCACTTCCTCTAAGAGTTGTTGCTTGATGCCCCTGCACTGGGTTAGCAGATTTTGCTAAGTGGTCCACAGAATCACCTACTTATGTGTTTCTCTGCCAGCTCTATAAAGACAGACCAGACTACCTTGCGGTAATTTGTTCAGTATTTTATCCCCAGGTTGAGCACAGCACCTGGCATACAGTAGACATTCAGTAAATATTTGTTAAATGAACATGGTTTTGTGGGGTTTTATTTGTAAATCTGAACATTTTGAAATTTGAATCTTCAAATAGCTGGACATAAAGTGCTAGATCCATCCAGACGAAAGAAATAATGGGAGACCATCTAGAAAAGTATTTTGTTCTTTATGCTATTAAATTCAGTAGAAATTAGTTATTATATTTTTTGAGGACTGTTATGCAATTAACACTCTGGACAACATGAAGACAGTTCAGATTTCACCTTTCTATCCTGCCCCCCAAGGACATGCAAAATATCTGCTTGGGTACCCGTTTTTTCATGTGTACACACTAGCATCTTCAGTTGATAAGTTCCTGTGGGGCAGGAACAGTAAACTTCTCAGAATTAGAAAGCAAAAGTGACAGCAAAAACACGACAACATCAGAAAGCCAGATTCTATGTCAGAAAGTCTTAGGAGTTGTAGCTTTAGTGTTCTGCAGACAACCCAATGTCACAGGAAATACTAATTCCCTTGCTCTGGGGCATTTATTAAAAACAAAATTTTTTGGGAGGCCGAGGCGGGCGGATCACAAGGTCAGGAGATTGAGACCATCCTGGCTAATATGGTGAAACCCCATCTCTACTAAAAAATACAAAAAATTAGCCAGGCGTTGTGGCGGGTGCCTGTAGTCCCAGCTACTCGGTAGGCTGAGGCAGGAGAATAGCGTGAACTCGGGAGGCAGGGCTTGCAGTGAGCCGAGATCATGCCATTGCACTCCAGCCTGGGCAACAAAGTGAGACTCTGTCTCAAAAAAAAAAAAAAAAAAAAACTAAAACTAAAACAAAATTTTACTTCCTACTGCCTGGTACCATATTATGCAGTAGAGACAGAGGGGTTAAGGAAATCAGGCATAGTCCTTGTTCTCATGTAGTTTGTAGTTAAGGAGTGAGAGAACTGGCAGTGACCTGATTTTGAAGAGGCTGATTCAGGTCAAGACCCAATTTTGAAGCTGGTCTCCAACAAGAAGAGTGGTTTCTAGGAATATAGCTCTGCACAAGCAAATACATATCCCTTAGACAGTCTGTGACATGGAGTGAAAAACCCTCCCTGACAGATCCTTTACTAGGGATCTCTGCAAGGGCTCAGATCTCTACTTCAATAGAAATGCTCATTGGTACTATCTGAGGACGATTTTTCCAAGAGGCACAAGGAGATCAATTACTACTGGCAGCCTAATTTGCAAGATAAAGAAATTTCCCATTATTCTAGTATCTTCGCAACCACAGTCTACTTCAGCATCATCAGCCGACATCATGGCATAGTGGAAAAAAATTTGGAATAGCTAAAAAGTCACAGATTAGAAGTTCTCATAGCTGAGATGCTGCTATGTGCTTCTTGTTAAAATCCAGGGTTAGGACAAGGGTCAGAGGATTCTTGTCCTTCTACACTTGAGTGGCCTACAGCCATGTATTCTTCTAAATCATGTTTTGAATTTCGTCTTGAAAGATAATGTTTTAAGAGTGCTAAGCTTATATACTCATACAACAGAAATAATATGTGTGATAAAGTTGGGCAAGAAGTGCTTTTAAAGTTGTCGGTTTCTAAAGGTGTCTTTTTTTAAATGGGTACTTAATAGTTATACCTATTTATGGGATATATGTGATATCTTGATACAAGCATACAAAGTGTAATGATCAAATCAGTATCCATCATCTCAAGCATTTATCATTTCTTTGTGTAAGGAACACTCCAATTCTACTCTTTTCATCATTTTGGAATACACAAGAAATTGTTAATCATAGTTGCCTTATTGTGCTTCAAAAAAGTTGTCTTTTAGGTTGTCTTAAAATTTGGTTACGAATTGATAACACTAGTCAGAATCATGATTTATATTCTGTAGATCATTTTTTTCCATTTAGCTTTCAGTTATAATACCTCACAGAATAATAAAGCTTGATAGGTTAAGTGTCTTGGTCCTGACTATCTTGAGAATAATGGTTGGAGCAAGAACTATGGTCCAGACGTCTGCTCTAGCTGCAATGTTTCCCCTCCCTACTCCATTACACCACAATGATGGATGAATGACGGATGCTGCAGCAGAAGTAATTACAGTAAACTCAAGATATAAAAACAATTAATATAGTGAAAATATATAAATTAATAATAAATATAAAATACATGCATCTTTAATATTAAGATGTAATATAATTTATAAATTAATATAGCAAATACAGTAATATCTAATGGACAGTGACCCCATCACCCCACTTTTACACGTGCCTCTAAGAGCCATTTCTTATTTTTGAAGGGGAGCAGCTACACCCTCACTCTTTGGGTTGCGGTGCCGTGTAGAAGTGATGAGAATGGGAAACTGATACACTCCTGCACAGAGAAGCCAATCTGAATGCCAGATGATTAAGTAGAAACCTCCACCATGCTGCCTCAGACTTACAAATGAAGTGCAAATTAAAATGTTAGATAGACATACTCAACAGCCTGTAACATCACAAGGACTGTCTTTGGGGTATCCATTTCTATAAAAAGAAAATCTGGCATTCCTTTTTGGAACATTAGGCCAAAGTAGAGGATAATGAGAACAGAAATGCCTTATGCAGTCTTAATAATCTTTCTACTCAGAGGATTCAGTGGAAACTAGTAACTAAAAAAGATTAGCCTTGCATCAAGACCGAGCTATCCAGAAATCGCCCGGCCTGGGATGCAGATTCAGTCACTTAAGTGAGTTGTAACACAGGCTCACTTGTAGGTTTGCCACAATTTTCTTGCAATTCAGTTCCTTCCTCTGTCAGGCTGCAATAATGAGATGAATTCCTGCAAGAAGTACTCCCAGAAAGACACAGGGAGGTCTGAGTAGATAACTAACACAGATATCTAGAGAACAGAAGTGCTAGACGAAGAGAGAAATAAACACACACAATAATTAAAACAAAGATTTTTTTAAACCATAGCGACATTACACTTATCTCAATCTTTAAAATCCAGGATATCTATATCTTTGTGTATTTCTCACTGAAACTTTCCCTGGGCCTCCCAGGAAGAACATAAAGAATAAAGAATAGGTTCATTTTCTTACAGATTAAGAGATGTGAGGCTCAAATGACCTTATCCTGGTAACATAGCTACATTACTGCAAGAGCAGCATCTTTAATCCCTATGATTCCTACTCCAGTCACTCTTTACCAGTGAACCATCAAAGTAGGTGATGATGCTGAAAGAGGTACAGAAGATTCAGCTTGTGAAGATAAGCCGAATGACAGAAAATGCACTTTGTGCAAACCTCCATGCAGTGATCACAATGCATTTTAGCCAGTGGTTCAGTTCTCTCTCTGTCCAACTAGACTATGTACCTTGAGGATAGAAACCATCTGTCCACCTAATGTCCCCAGTAGTCAGCACAGTAACTAACACATAGTAGTCAATTAATATTTGAAGAACGTATAAATGAATGAATGAAAGCATGAATGGATCTGGAAAAGTTGCCATCAGGAATTGGGGCCCTGAAGAAAGAATGGGGTTCATAAATAACATTCAGCAATCATAGTCACTGAATTGGGTACTAATATTAGTGAAAATAATAGAGACAGTAAAACCAATTATAAATAGATAAAGAAGGTAGTGCTTGTTCTGTTTTGTTTCATAAAAGATTGACAATTTTATTTATGAACACAGGATTTGAGCTAAAAAGAGAACAGATAAGAAGGTAGGTGACTAAAGAAATGGTTGCCGAGAAAAAGTATGAAACAGAGTTTAGAACAGAGAAGAGGATACAGAGATAATTGTAAAGGTGTTTGACAGAAAAAGGGAAAAGGAGAAAAGAAAAAGCTTTCAGTAGGACACTTTATGGGCATAATAGGGTTCTTCTTTAGGGCATTTCGGAAGTTGAGAGAGCAAAGATGAGAACTCGAGAGACATGGAATGGACAAAAGAGAAAGGGAGGTGAGATACATGGTACTGATCACTCACAGGGAATGAGGAAGGGAAGTAAATGGCCTCAAAGAAGTCATAGCTGTCATCGAGCAGCAAATGCCTTCTGTCATGCAGGTGGAATTAAAGCTTAAATGTGAACTGATGGTCCATCTTCAGCTTCTTTCTCTTCTCGCTCTGATACCTGCCCTCAAGGTTGCTCCCTGGCTGGTCAGGGAACTCACACTGAGCTGTAGAATGTTCCCAGGCTCTGGACCTTTCTGTACTGTTATTCAACCATCAGCACTTGCTAGCTTCTGTCCTATTCTCTCAGGATGCCTGTTTTTATTAAATGACAAAGGAAGTTAATTGGTTCATCAAGTAGAGCAATTCCTATTGTGGGCTTAGCTGGCTACTAGTTACCTTGCCTATTACATATAACAGCAGTGAAATAAACATAAAGGAATGAATGGGTGGGCTTTCATTACGTGCCAGGCCCTGAGCTAGATGCAGCAGAGTATGGCAGAACAGGACATGGGCTTTGGAGACAGACACACCCAAGACAGAGGTCTGGTCCATAATTTCCTAGCTATAAGCTTGAGGAAGTTATCTCCTAGGGTTCTTGGATTCTTCATCTGTAAGATATGAAGAATAATTTCTTCACCCTCAATTTCCTCCTCTATGAAATGGAGATAATGTTGCCTACTTCGCAGGGTTCAAAATACATATAAGTGATAATAATGTTATTTACTATTTATTCATTTATCCCCACTTTAAAAAGGAAAAGCTGAGGCACAGAGAAGTAAGGTGTGACTAAGGTCACCTAGCTGGGAAATTCTAGAGCTGGCATTTAAATCTAGCATTTGTCTTTATGCACTTACCCAACATACTATGTCATCTTAACCAATACACTAAAGCATCATTAGATGTTTCCATCTACAGCCTCTTACAGTGGGGAAACAGTTTGATATTCACCAATCTCATTTAACCCTCACAGCACCTCTGTGCAGTACTAACATCTTGCTTTAAGATGAGGAAAGGAAAGCTCAGAGAAGGTAACCGTGGCCAAAACTCAACATAGGCCCAGAGAAGGGAACACCAGCCAAAACTCAAAGAGCTAATTAGTGACAGAACTTGAAATTAGATGTAGGGTTTATGACCACAAATATAAATATAAGAAAGAGAGCCAACTCTGGGCCCAGAGTAGATGCCCACATCTTTACTAGTTATCTAGGTGGTATTTCTACATTGCTTTTAAAGTTCTCTGATAGCAAAGCTGAAACCTGGCTAGGTGTTGTAAGATAGATGAGAAACTGCAAGTCAAGGTGTGAGTTCAATGAGTGGATTTTAACTCCTAACTTCAGGAGTACTGGTCAATTATCCTTTACTGAGTGGTGCTATCAGCCCACGGTAAAATAAATTAGATTTTTAAGAAGGTGCAGAATTGCCACTATAAAATCAGATAAGCCTACTGCAGTTGGGAATAAATTCTATCATAGAAATACATCTTGCCTGATATCAAAGGAAGCCAAGAAACCATGCCAAGAGTTGGATGAAAACTGACATTTTCTGCTGTGGAGACAGAAGTGGTAGCACTGATTGGAGAATTATATTTTGAAGAGTTCTAAAATATTTATCATCATTCTAGGTCATTTATTCATTTACCCTTTTAATGCTCATTTCTTTTGTGCCACTAGGTCGAGCTTAAAAGCAAAGAATGAAAATTCACTGTGTTTTTATATATTAATATGAAGCAGGAAGTTTCTCTATTGCTTGGTTTGAAAAATAAAAGCGTTTCTGAGAAATATTAGAACACTAAATGTTCTTTCAGAAACATGGCTTTTGTCATTAATAAGGATGCTGGGTGTATCTAAGCGTGTTATGAATTTGTACTTTTTTTTGTTTGATAACTTCCTGTAACTTGAAGTATTTCAAGAAGGGAAAAAGCTGATAAAAACTACTAAAATTGCCATTGCTTCACTGTATTGATTGCCCCATTATGTTTCTTTCTAGACTTGACTCAGGCATCTCCTTCTCCAGGATGCCTTTTCTGCTCTCCATTCTAATTAAGATGGCCTTCCTCTGTGCTCCAGGAGCATTTACACAAACCACTATCCATCACTGCCCTTATCACACTGCATCGAAGCTATCTGCCCGCACATCTGTGCCCCCTGGAAGGCAATCAGGACAATAACCATGGCTTATATTCCACCTGGTGTCCTCAGCACCTGGCATGGAGCCAGAACTCAGCAAATTTTTACCAAAGAACAATGAATTTTAAAACCTGACTATAGAATGGCAGAATGCTCCTTCTGCCTCCACGAAATTTACTTTCAAGTTGAACAATTTTATTAAAAATTCCATTTTCTAATGGTATCAGAGACCTGCAAAGCTAAAGAAAAAGCAAGTCTTATTTCCAGGTCAGAACTTATTTCCCAGGTCCTCACTATTTGGCTTATATAATATTAAAAGGTATTTTTAAGAGTATAATTTCTATTTCTCAGGCTTGAAGGATACTTTTGTTAGTGTCCTCATAGCTTTCTATTTTGGCTTTGCATCCAGAGAAATGAAAGAGGCTTGACTCAGCTGCCGCTTAATACTGCACAAGCCTGAGAGAGAAGACTATTATATAAGCTAATGTGTATTTTAAGGTGTTTTTTTTTTTCATAGCCAATACCTAAATGCCACCTTCCAACCTCATGAAAGTGCTGAACCCCAGTGTGTGGGAAAGCGAGGTCCCCTACACGGCTCTGTATTCCTTATAAGTATAAAAAATAAAAGCAGTTGATTAAGGGTTAGCAATTTTCTTTTCTTTCTTTACACGTACTTGTAATTCATTTAATGCAGGAAGTGGGCTGAGTTTTCTTGTTCTTTCCAATTCAACTCTCAGGGAGCTTTCTTGCCAGCCTGCTATGGTTACCATGGCAACAAGGCGATGGTGGCAGTAATATGATCTCATATGCCTTGTGTCAATAGCATCAGATCATCACGCTTGAGGATAATTTTGACAATAAGCTTCAGATATAGATTCAGGATATATTACCATTTGATTGATTTACCAGAAATACTGAGCAATTACAGCCTTAAACTTCTAATAAAAGCATGTTCACAAAGGTTAGCGTTTTTCCCTAGATGACATATTATATGGCATTCTGAAATTTGTAAATTGCTTTCATATATCTGCTTCAATTCTCATTAGGCAGGACAGATATAATCATCCCCATTTTATAGAAGAGGAAGTAAAGGCCCGTGCAATGTGCTGTGTAAGGTGGCAAAAGCAACTCCACAGTGAAGCTGAAACTTCAACTTGAGGCTTCTGGCATCAGAATCACACTTTCCTCATGCCTGTGTTAAGAATTCATGGGTATTATCAAAATGTTCTTAGATGCATAGGTTAGACCCTGGAATGTCTGAATTAAAATAATGTAAATGTATCTGTGATAAATAACTACTAGTTTGAGAATATTAGTATTTTATATTTGGGTGATGCTTCATACATTTTATATCTCCCATTACACCTTCCTTTCCTAAGGCTTTTCTGATACTAGATGCACAAATAGATGCTTATCTCTTTCTCCCACTGATCAACATCTTGTCTTTTTTGTTGTTGTTGTTATTAGTGACATTTATTTTTCCATTGTGAGTTCCTTGAAAGTAGGGATCATGTTATTCATTCTTGGAAGGTCCCTGATCCTGGCACAGTATGTATGGATCTGTTATGTATCAGGTACTGTACATAATATGTACCAGGTACATAACAGATACACCATAAATGCTTGTTGCTTGTTAAACTGAACTCATCTGACACCCACAAACCCCATGAGGTAAGTACAGCTGGCATTATGATCCACTATTTTAATAAAGTGGAAATAGAGGTCATGGATATATCATGGGCAATTTAATTCTTTCCACTCCCAGCCATGTGCTCTTTCCATGTCGTCCTGTTTGCTTTATTCTTTCATTGTTTCTCTTTCATTCATTAATTCATCAAACATTTATTAGTTGCTCTTTCTATATCAAGCATTGCTACAGATAATGGGTTACAAAGATAAATAAGACACAATCCTCAGCACCAAAGGGCTCACAGATAATGCAGATAATTTTCTGCCTAGGCAAGTAGTAAAATAAAACCTTATATGGAACTTCGAGTATGCATTATATTATTTCCCAACTTTATTGGCTCTTTAAAATGTATCTTGAGAATATGTTTCAAGTCCCTCTTTAATGCAGTGTTTTAGAACTGGATAAGCCTTGAGCCATTGCCAATATAGGGTGATACTAATTCTGCATCTTCGTTTTTTTTCTTGGGCATAAAATCAGCATTTCCAACATCCCACAGAATCCCTAAACTTAACGTGTCCTCAATGAAACTCAGTATCTGACCTGAACGAATGGGAAGTGGCAGAAAGAGGCAGATGGTCAGGGTGAGATGCCAGACTCTGCCGTTTGATATGACTTAGGGTCAGTTACACCATCTAGGGGTTTCTTCATTAGTATCTGGCACGAAACACAGTGTTCAAAATACTTCTTAAATGTATTAATTAATGAATGAGTTGTCAAAGAGGATGAAAAATGATGACATAAAATAGGGATACCTGAAGCAGTGTTAGCATTAGCAGGTACTCAATAAACATCTTTTAAAGAGTGGACTAAATATATACGATTCAATTCCCCTTCCTGAAACATATTAAATTGCCAAGACAAAACTTCTAAGTTATCTTTATGTCTCTTTCCACATCATAGAGTCAGGTTTATTTCACCTCTGCAATGTCTTGGACTTGTGCCTTTCTCTTCATCCAATAGCATGATTTGATCCAACCCCCACCCTTTCACTAGTAGACTCTCAGAGAAGGCCCTTGACTGAACTTCCTCTCTTTCCAGGGTCTCCCATTCCACCTTACTGGTGAAACTCTTATTTTTAAAGGATAACTAGGAGTGTATAACTCTTCTGGCCAGAGATTTTGTATTGATTTGTATATTCTAATTAAGAAACTTTTTAGAATGGTAATCAAGATCCTCTAAAAGGTGATCTTTAGTTATACCTATAGTCATTCCTTTCCATATACTCTAGGTTTTAGCTTCCCCTACACACACTTTTGGACTTTTAAGCTTTCTTCCTGTATTCCTAGTTAGTGGAGTAATAACAGCTTTGTAATACTTTTGCACAACACTTTGCAATTTGTAAGGAACTCATATATGTTTATAATGAAACTTTGTGATAACCTCAGAGTAGGTGGATATGATCATTTTCATTTCACCAATTAGGAAATTGAAAATCAGAGAGTTAAATCATACAGATTCTCATAACCTTTATGAGAATTCTATTGGAAAATATTTGTGTCTATGATGATTGTTTAACCATGGAATACTTGAATCAAACTCTTTAAATTAACAACTGTGACTTCAAAATGCTAACGATTGACATTTGTTCAGCTCGTTAGCCCAGAGGCTAATCATGATGCTTTTCTTCTGCATAGCAAAAGAAACTATCAACAGAGTAAATAGACAACTACAGAATGGAAGAAAATATTTGCAAACTATGCATCTGACAGAAGTCTAATATACAGCATCTATAAAGAATTTAAACAGGGTGGGCATGGTGGCTCATGCCTGTAATCTGAGCACTTTGGGAGGCGGAGGCTGGTGCATCACTTGAGGTCAGAAGTTTGAGACCAGCTTGGCCAACATATTGAAGCCCCATCTCTACTAAAAATACAAAAATTAGCTGGGCGTGGTGGCATGGGCCTGCAATCCCAGCTACTCAGGAGGCTGAGGCAGAAGAATTGCTTGAACCTGGGAGATGGAGGTTGCAGTGAGCCGAGACCGTACCACTGTACTCCAGCCTTGGTGACAGAGCGAGACTCTGTCTCAAAAAAAAAAAGAACTTAAATTCACAAGAAATAAACAAATAACTCCATTAAAAAGTGGCAAAGGATATAAACCGATACTTTTCTAAAGAAGACATACATGGAGCCAAGAATCATATGAAAAAAAGCTCATTATCACTGATCATTAGAGAAAATGCAAATCAAAACCACAATAAGATACCATCTCACACCAATCAAAATGGCTATTATTAAAAAGTAAAAAAATAACAGACGCTGGTGAGGTTGCAGAGAAAAGGCAGCACTTACACACGATGGGATCATAAATTTGTTCAACCATTGTGGAAAGCAGTACGGTAATTCCTTAAAGAGCTAAAAGCAGAACTACCATTTGACTCAGCAATCCTGTTACTGGGTATATACCCAGAGGAATATAAATCATCCTCCCATAAAGACACATGCATGCGATGTTTACTGCAGCAGTATTCACAATAGCAAAAACAGAATCAACTTAAATGCCCATCAATGACAGATGGAATGAAGAAAATGTGGTAAATTTACACCATGGAATACCATGCAGCCACAAAAAAGAACAAGATCATGTCTTTTGTGGGAACATGATGGAGCTGGAGGCCATTATCCTTAGCAAACTAATGCAGGAACAGAAAACCAAATACCACATGTTCTCATTTGTAAGTGGGAGCTAAATTATGAGAACTCATGAACACAAAGAAGAGAATAACAGATACTTGGGCCTCCTTGAGGGTGATGGTTGGGAGAAGGGAGAAGAGCAGAAAAAATAACTATTGGGTACTAGGCTTAGTACCTGGGTGACAAAATAATCTGTACAACAAACCCTCGTGACACTAGTTTACCTATGTAACAAACCTGCATATGTACCCCACAACCTAAAATAAAAGTTAAAAAAAAAATGATGTTCTTGGCTGGGTGCAGTGGCTCACACCTGTAATCCCAGCACTTTGGGAGGCTGAGGTGGGTGGATCACTTGAGGTGAGGAGTTTGAGACCAGCCTGACTAACATGGTGAAACTCTGTCTCTACTTAAAAAATACAAAATTAGCCAGCTGTGGTGGCGCATGCCTGTAATCCCAGCTACTTGGGAGGCTGAGGCAGGAGAATCACTTGAACCCAGGAGGCAGAGGTTGCAGTGAGCCGAGATTGCACCATTGCACTCCAGCCTAGGCAACAAGAGCGAGACTCCGTCTCAAAAAAAAAAAAAAAAAAAAAAGATGCTCTTAAGCTGGATTGCCTGTGTGGAATCCTGGCTCTACTATTTCCTAGCTGTGTGGTCTTGGATAGATTACTTAATCTCTCTGTCCTTCAATTTCCTCATCATTAAACTGGGGATACCAATAGTTTCTATTGTGTAGGATTGCTGCAAGGATTAGTGAATTTTATGTGCGTAAAGTGCTAGGATAATATCTGACACATAGCAAGCACTCCTAAATGTTGCTACCCTTAAAGACACAACCTAAGAACTTCTTTGGCTAGTCCCTGGTCTGAGAAGGAAAATCAATTCCTTCCTCATTGGTGCTACCTTGTTTGGGTCTTCTATACTGGGGACACTATAGCTGCCTCAGGGTGTTGGCTCAGGATAGATTCAGAATATCTGAATCTACTTATTGGGAGCAGTCACTGAGTTTCTCTAAGCCTCATTCACCATCTGAAAACACCTGGATAATAACAGCATTTTACATCATAGGATTGTGGTGATCATTTTATTAACTAGTACATATAAGGCATCTAGTGCTTGGCATGGAGTAACTAATCAGTAAAATTTAGTGACTATTACTGTTACATAAATGTTTTGCCCATGATATTTTGACCTTCTTGGGTTAGGACCTGTCTTTTTCGTTATCTTTATGCCTATCTTTGTTGCTTCTTCACAGTAGATTTAAAAAAAATAAACATTTAAATAAAAAAGATTTTGCTTATGAGTGTCTTGGCTATATGGGCTCTTTTTTTTGTTCCATATGAAATTTAAAGTAGTTTTTTTCTAATTCTGTGAAGAAAGTCAATAGTAGCTTAATGGGGATAGCATTGAATCCATAAATTACTTTGAGCCATATAGTCATTTTCACTATATTGATTCTTCCTCTCCATGAACATGGAATGCTTTTCCATTTGTTTGTGTCCTCTCTGATTTCCTTGAGCAGTGGTTTGTAGTTCTCCTTGAAGAGGTCCTTCACATCCCTTGTAACTTATATTCCTAGATATTTTATTCTGTTTGTAGCAATTGTGAATGGGAGTTCACTCATGATTTGGCTCTCTGTTTGTCTATTATTGGTGTATAGGAATGCTTGTGATATTTGCACATTGATTTTGTATCCTGAGACTTTGCTGAAGTTGCTTATCAGTGTAAAGAGATTTTGGGCTGAGATGATGGGGTTTTCTAAATATATAATCATGTCATCTGCAAACAGACAGTTTGACTTCCTCTCTTCCTATCTGAATACGCTTTATTTCTTTGTCTTGCCTGATTGCCCTGGCCAGAACTTCCAACACTATGTTGAATAGGAGTGGTGAGAGAGGGCATCCTTGTCTTGTGCCCATTTTCTAAGGGAATGCTTCCAGTTTTTGCCCATTCAGTATGATATGGGCTGTGGGTTTGTCATAAATAGCTCTTATTATTTTGAGATAAGTTCCATCAATACCTAGCTTATTGAGTTTTTAGCATGAAGGGCTGTTGAATTTTGTTGAAGGCCTTTTCTGTACCTACTGAGATAATCATATGGTTTTTGTCATTGGTTCTGTTTATGTGATGGATTATGTTTATTGATTTGTGTATGTTGAACCAACCTTGCATCCTAGGGAGGAAGCTGATTTGATTGTGGTGGATAAGCTTTTTGATGTGCTGCTGGATTCAGTTTGCCTGTATTTTATTGAGGATTTTAGCCTCGATATTCATCAGGAATATTGGCCTGAAATTTTATTTTCTTGTTGGGTCTCTGCCAGATTTTGGTATCAGGATGAGGCTGGCCTCATAAAATGAGTTAGGGAGGAGTCCCTCTTTTTCTATTGTTTGAAATAGTTTCAGAAGGAATGGTACCAGCTTCTCTTTGCACATCTGGTAGAATTCGGCTGTGAATCTGTCTGGTCCTGGGCTTGTGTTGGTTGCTAGGCTATTAATTACTGCCTCAATTTCAGAAATTGTTATTGGTCTATTCAGGGATTCAACTTCTTCCTGGTTTAGTCTTGGGAGGGTTTATGTGTCCAGGGATTTATCCATTTCTTCTAGATTTTCTAGTTTATATGCATAGAGGTATTTATAGCATTTTCTGATGGTAGCTTGTATTTCTGTGGGATCAGTGGTGATATCCCCTTTATCATTTATTTAAATACAAAAGATTTTTCAATAAAAATGATTAAAGTAGCAGGATAGAACAATCTTTGCAGAGAAAATCCCAAACTCTAAGTGGATGGATGCTGAGACTGTATGCAAAAACGCTAAATTCTAGAAAGAGTTAAATTTGAAAATATCTATTCTTATTACAAAATATTGATCTAGTGGTTGTTGGGAAAATATAAATGTACCATATAATAAATTGGGTTTGGATTATTAAAATTCTATTACCTTGTCCACAATGGAAGCAAGAATATAAATGACTTTATAAAACTAAAAAGTTTTAAATTTTCTTCTGTACATTGGCATATCTCACAAAGGAATGGAATTGGTTACACTGCATATGAGAACATTTTGATGCAGTATAATCTTTTATTGTGCAGCTTTATATAGCACCCTTTCCTGAAAGAGTGACTGTACAGCGCCTGGTGTTCTAAATCCAGTCGCTAACTCAAACCTTTTCACTTTCATAAAGAGGTTTTGGGAATGAAGTTAATATTCCATTTACCAAACTAAAATATAATATTATGTGCTGCAATGCTGTGAGCCCACCCACCCACCAGACTGCAGATAATCTTCTATTCATATGCTCAAATCAAGTACTATGCATATTTCTAGCTCACTATCAAAAGTAACTGCACATATACACAAAGAAAGGATAGAAGAAAATGAATGAGCAGTCAAAAATGACTGCAGGCGACTTTAACAATACAAGATCAGCCATTTTTGACAAATATTTGATTTGAAATTCACTGATCTTCTATTAGGACTCAAGGGCTGGCAGGAGTAACGAATTTCCTGAGCTTCTCTTATGTATGTTCAGAAGTATTGGATCAGTTTTTGGTCTCGGGGTAACAACAATAGCAGCAAAACAGTAACAGCAACCAACATGCACTGAGTTTACTTCACACCAGCACTCAGGCAGAACTTCTGCTTCAGCAGGGTGAATAAGAGCCCCCAAAGGTATCAGATCCTAATCCCTGGAACCTGTAAATTATGCCTTATTAGGAGACAGGAACTTGCAGTTGTGATTAACTTAAGGATCCTGAGATGGGGAGATTACCATGGATTATCTGGATGGGCCCTAAATACAAACACATGTATCTTATAAAATAGATGGAAAGGGAGCTTTGACAGACAAAAGAGGAGGAGGCATTGTGACCACAGAGGCAGAAATTGGAGTGATGTGGGCACAAATCAGGGTATGCTGACAGCCGCCAGATGCTAGAAGAGGTAAGGAACATATTACCCTCTAGAGCTTCTGGAGGGAATGAGCCCCTGCTGACACCTTGATTTTGCCCAAGTGATACTTATTTTGAATTCCTGTTCTCCAAAACTTGGAGAGAAGATAAATGTTTTTTTTAGCCAGCAAGTTCATGGTAATTTGTTACAGCAGCCATGGGAAACTAAATTAAGCATCCAACCATTGAACTAATATACTAATATATTGCTGAACTTTGGTTCATTCCTTCATAAGCCTCCCAAATTCTTGATTTCTTTGTTCTGTGGGGGCTGCTGCTGGTAAGAGTAGAGCTATTAAAGCATCCTTCCATGTGAAGCATCACCTGCTGACATTTTTGCAGAATCCCTTCCATTGTCAGCCCTACCTACTTACAAGTTGAAATTGACACACAGGTGCAGTGAGTCAAGGTCTGACTTGAATGCTTTGCTTTTCTCTCAGTAGATTTTCTTAAATTCAGCAAGTCCTCACTTAATGTCATGGATAAGATCTTGGAGATTGCAACTGTAATTGAAACTATGTATAAAGAAACCAATTTGACCACAGTCAAATCAATATAAACAAGAGTTCAGTTCCTATGGTATATTTCTGGTCAAAGAAAGTAATCACCAAACTTCTAAATAAAGAAGCAAATACTTCTAATATTAAACATCAAAATAAATGGGAGCTATACATACATTTAAGAAATATTAATGAAAAGGAAGATGATGATTTACCCAATTATTCCAGTTCAAGGTCGCCTGTCCCGGCAACTCAGGGCACCAGGTGGGAACGCACCCTGGACGGGACACCCTCCCATCGCAGGGCATACTCACACCCACATTCGCACTCACTCAGACTGGGACCATGTAGACTTGCCAATTCACCTAGCATTAAGCACATCCTTGGGCCGTGGAAGGAAACCGGAGTGCCTGGAGAAAACCCATGCAGTCATGGGGAGAACAAGCAAACTCCACGCAGACAGTGACCCGGGCTGGGAGTCAATTTTTTTTCTTATCAACATCATAAGGAAACAGCATTACAGGAAATGGTGTAACTTGAGGACTTGCTCTATAGAACTACACATGCCATTATTTCAGTATGTTTCTTTTCTTGTTTGATCTCATTCATTTGCACACTTGAATCCACCAATAATTAAAAACATCTGTGAATATAATCAATACATAAGTAATGAATTTATTGTTTCTTTGGGCCAGAAAACTGTTAAGAACTTGTTATATGCAAGGCATTGGTTTAGAAACCAGATATTCAATGATAAATTCTTGACCTCACTTAAATTCTTATTGAGATGAAAAGAAATATTATCAAGTCACAAACAGTACAAAGCTGGGTGTGAAAATGCCATAAGGAGAAGATGGAGACAACGCTGACATTCAGATTTCTGGCTTAAATGACTGAAAAAATAGTGATGCCATTTACTGACATGGGAACTGCAGGAGAAGCAGCAGATTTGGGAAGAGCAGTGGATTTGAGGTCCCTGGGGGGCATCCACGTGGAAAAACAGGCCTGATGTTAAGGAGAGAGAACTTAGAGGTTTTGAAATTATCTGGGCATTGGTGATAATTAAAATCCTAGGAATGGAACTCATTGCTCCTGGACATTGCATAATGGGAGAAGAAAAGAGAGGCTTAGAAAAAGTACAGGGCTAGTAAAGCGTATCGCATATTAAGAGAATGATGACTAACCTAATTTGAGATTTAAAGGGATCTGATAGGAGATAAATTAAAAATCAGTTGGGTCTATCCAAAGAGGATAACCCTATATGCCAGCCTCCAAAATTTAGACTTTTTTTTTTTTTGGTCATATGTATTGAGTCATAGTTAGAGGTTTTAATTTGGGGACTAGTAGGATTATAGCTATGCTTATAAGGTAAATCCAGGGTAGTGTGTAGGATGGACATTAGAGAGAAAAGACAGAGGCTGAAGAGTTGAGTTGGAATGTTAATGTGATGATCTAGAATTAGAGGTAATGAAGGCCTGAAGAACTGTTTTAACAGTGTGTGTATGTAGGTATGTGTGTGTGTGTGTGTGTGTGTGTGTGTGTGTGTGTATTTTCCCCCCAAATATACTAAATAAAATTGGTATCAACATTTCTTATCAACACTATAGGGAAACAGCATTAAAGGAAATTATGTTACTTAAGGTACTTGAGGTTTGATGTTCACTCAAACACTTTTGAGTATTTATTTCTGCATTAAAGGTCTTGCATTTCATACATACAGGTGAAAAAAGAGGAAGGCAAGATGTCAAGAGAAAAAAATGTGGCATATGGCCTGACCCAGTTTATTTGTTGAGAACTTTGTGGAAGCAGGATCAGTAGGATGCGCTGCGATGTATCCTGGCAGTGGAGAGGAAAGTTAATAATAACCATAGCCACGGGATGAACAGTGGCTGCTCACTGAGTGTTGCTAAGGGCCATCAAGAGGTGAATGAAAAGAATTATCCTTTTGTTCCCTTCATGGAGATGCTGGCAAATGAACTGAATTTAACTCAATGAACCACAAAGCCTAAGGGTAACTGTTTTCCTTTGTGGTTTGCTTATTGAAAGTCACTGCTGAGCTGATACGGGTGTTGGGGACAATGTCTTTGACCTTGGAGTTCTTAAAACCATCCTCAGACTCAATGAACAGTTGGTAAGGTTTTAGGAATGTCCTAGCAAAAGCACTCTGGATTCTGCAGGCAAGTGGGATAATTCCTGAAGTATTATTTTAAAAATTGTGTGAAACAGTGGAAATACACTATTTGGAGTCAGATAGATGAGGGTTTGAGTGCCATTTCTATCACTTGGTGATCCTGAGAAAATCAGTCTCCTTAAGCCTTAGGCAAAATGGGGATAATGATCGATTTTGTGAAAATGTTAATAAAATAATATATGGAAAAATAATATATTTGAATTTATAGATGAGACTTAATAGATAAATGTGACTGCCCTCCCATACTTAAGGTCACTAAAAATATTAATTAAGAGTATGTTGAATAGAAGAATTTGGAAAAGAAAATCAAGCTAGAGAGAATGGGAGAAATTTCCTTAAGAAACAAAACATAAAATTTTATTAGGACTATTTGATTTGCTTAACTGAAACTCTATCAAAAGCCATTTTCTGGTTTTTACATGAATCTTCAAATATTTCTAATCAGCAGTTTTTCTCTTAACTGCCACTCAGCTTTTGGTTGGATGATGCAGAGATGTAGGTGTTTCGAGTAACTAATACAATTCCCTTCTAGGGTATGTTGCAGGGTGCCTTAACTTACTGTGTATGCAAGGTAAATAACTCCTAATATGAGACAACAAACAAAATACATGTCTAATCAATTCAGAAAAATGTTTAGGAAGCTCCATAAACATGTTTTCATAAACGCTTGCTGGCAGCCAACTTGCCTGGCTTTCAGAGTTGCTATAACAACCAGCAGTCCTCTCAGCAGCCTTGGCACTCTGCATTCTTACATCTTTTAATAAGAAATATCATTATCTTGTCTGGGCTCATTAGCTCAATTATTTAAAGCATGGTACTAGTAAAGCCAAGGTAGAGGGTTCAAAAGTATGCATTAGCAAGAAAATTCTATCCATGTGTCCTTTGCCAAGGCGACTTGTTCATTCATTCATTCATTTAAAAATATTTATTGAATGTCTGCCATGTGCCAGGTTCTGTTCTAGGAGCTAGAAATAAATCAGTAAAATTAAAAAAAAAATATATATATATATATAAACATGTATATAAACCAACAAAACAACAACAACAAAAAACCAACAAAAAAACCCCAAAAAAACAAAAATAATTAAGATGCCAGTTTTAGTGATGTCTATAGTCTGGTTTGAGGGGCAAGAAGGGAGACAGATGCTGACTAAGCAACAAATTAATATACATGTAGAAATACATGTAGAGTGAGAACAATGAAGACAAAGCAGGGAAAGGAGACAGGTGCTGTGTTAGGGTGAGGAGAAAGTGCCTCTTGATATGGTGACATTAGAGCAGAGATTTCGATGAATTGAATAAGAAAAGCTGTAGCTAAGTCATGGAAGAACGTTTTAAACAGAAGGTTAGCAGGGCACAAGCTCTGAGGTGAGAGTGTGCTTGGCCGGATCAGGACCAGCCAGGAGACCTGTATGACTGGGGTATTAGTCAGGGTTCTCTAAAGGGACAGAACTAAGTGGATAGATGAATATATGAAGGGGAGTTTATTAAGGAGTATTGACTCACAAGATCATAAGGTGAAGTCCCACAATAGGCCACCTGCAAGCTGAGGAGCCAGGAAACCAGTCCAAGTCCCCAAACCTCAAAAGTAGGAAGGTAGATAGTGCAGCTTTCAGTCTGTGGCCTAAGGCCCGAGAGCCCCTGGCAAATCACTGGTATAAGTGCAAGAGTCCAAAAGCCGACGAATCTGGAGTCTGATGTATGAGGGCAGGAAGCATAGTACAGGAGAAAGATGGAGGCCAGAAGACTCAGCCAGTCTAGTCCTTTCACGTTCCCCTGCCTGCTTTTATCCCAGCCACACTGGAAGTTGATTAGATGGTGCCCACCCAGATTGAGGGTGGGTCTGCCTCTCCCAACCCACTGACTTTGGCAACACCCTCACAAACACACCCAGGAACAATACATTGCATCCTTCAACCCAATGAAGTTGACACTCAATTGTAACCATCACAATTGGAGTGGAGTGCTCAAGGGAAGAACAGAAGGTGATGAAATCAGACAGGAAGAGATGATCTGTCCATGCAGGGTCTTGGAAACCACTGTAAGGGATTTTAGATTTTATTCTGAGTGAGACAGGAAACGAATGCAGAGTTCTGAGTAAAGGGGTAATATAATCTGACATCTACTTTAGGAAAAATTGCTTTGGATCCAGAGACTCTACGTAGGGGCTCAAGAAGGAAAGGGGATCTGTTAGGAGGTTATTGCAATTAAACAGAGGAGAGGTGATGACAGCTTAGAGCAGGTGCCAAGGATTTAAGAAATAATCAGACTCTGGATGTTTTTAGAGGTAGTGCCAGTGGGATTTGCTGATGAAATAAATGTGAAGTTTTTCTCTTGAGCACTAGAAAAATGAAGACAGCATTTCCGCCCTGGGGAAGACTGAAAAATAAAAGCATGCACAAACTTATTTGTGTGCATGTGTGTGTGTGTGTGTATGTGTGTAAGGCAGAATGGAGTTGTGGATGCCTTAATGTTGAGATTTCTGTGAGACATCTAAGTGGATACTTTCATCTAGGCAACTAAATGTAAATAATAAAATCTCTTTATAGATTTCAGAGTTCAGGAGAGATGTCTGGGCTAAAGATACAACTGTAAGAGTCATCAGTTTATAGATGTAATGTAAGCCACGGGTCTGAATAAGGACACCTAGGAAGTAAAAATGATAGAGAATAGAACACAAAGAACTGAGCCTTTGGGTAATACAATGTTAGACTTGGGAAAGATAGGGGAGGGGCATCCAAAAGGAGAGAATGAGAAGGAATGGCCTGCAAGATGGAAAAACCAAGAGATAATGGGGGTATTGGAAGAAAATTAATTCAATATGAAGGAATTTATCAGTTAAGTCAAATGCTGATGATAGGTCATATAAAATGAGGGCTGAGAATTGACAAATTCGGCAATGGGAAAGTCACTGATGACTGTAGTTAGATCACTTTTAGTAGGGTGGAAAAGAGAAAAATTTCCTGTTAAAGAGAGAATAGAGGTGAAGATGGTGATTACAAGATCTTTTGGGAGGTTTTGCTATAAAGTGAGCTGAAAAATTGGACAGTAACTGGGGGTAATGTAGGGTAAACAGAATTTTAAAAATTCAAATGAGGACTTATTGTGACATGTTTGCATGCTGATGAGGATAATCGACAGAGAGGGGAAAATTGATGATGTGCGTGAGAGCAGGGGTAGTGAAGCCTTTGAGTAGACAAGAGGGGCCACATAGTTTAAATGTGGGAAATTTCATTCATTCATTCCAAAAAGTTAAGCAAACATCTACCATGTGCCAAATACACAGCTAAGTACTAGGAACACAGAAATGAATAAAACATGGTTCCCATTATCAAAGAAGTCATTTCTTTGGGAGGGAGAATAAGCATTTTCTCTAATTAATAATTCACGTTCAATGCAGTGATGGTAATGTCAGAGAAATGTACCCAGGGCTCTTTTCTGGGATCTTTTCATTACAGCATGCTGAATCTTGGGCTGCCATGTCATTAGAAGCCTAGATTCAAGACCTTCATTTCCATCATGCATTGACATGTTCTGGGCTGTACTACTGATGAGACTGATTTAGGCAAGAGTTCTGGGCATGAATTGGTGCTGTGGCTGCACAGATAAAGTCGAGGTGATAGATTTGAGAACTGTGTGCTAGGTAAATCAGCAATCCTGGTGATTGGTTGACTTGAAGTAAGGTAAAGAAGAGGGAGGCTCAAGGATAACTCCTAGGTTTCCCATATTTAGTTTTATCCTGGAAGCGAGGATGCTGATAAACAGATTCCTAACAGGTAGCGTGGGTGGATAAGAAGAAGAATCTGGGCCCTTTTCTTAAAAAAAATTAAGGTCTGATAAATACCTGATACTTTCAAAAATATTTGAAAGCAGCCAGATATTTCTGTCTATAAAAAGAAAAAAAAAATAGACCTGATCTCTATAGGATGTCACAAACGCTCAAAAAATAAAAGATAGGAAAGACTAATAATACAATGCTAGAACACTTTTTGATACTACCTAAGAGACTTAAGAAAAAAAACACCAAACCCCCAAAACACAGAGTTCTTGGTATGATGTATTTGTTTTTCCATAGAATGGTTTGAGAAATTCAGTGAAAATTAATTGGAACATGTGGTTGTCATTCACATGGTTCCAGACTTTATGGGCTTAATAAAAACATTATGAATAGTTTTTGGAGTTTTGGGAGAAGCGAACATGGCTGGTCTAGGTATCTGCTTTTAGGTTAATCCCTCTACGCAGGAAGTTTCACAGTGTCATACAGTGCTTTTCAATTTTTCCCACTCAAATGCTCCCACTATCAGAGGGATGAGAATGAGCTTCCCTGGATGGCAGAGGAAGAAAGGGGGTAGGGTAGTCTGAGGGTGTAACTTGAAGTTTCAAGTTGCAAACATAAAGTTTCCTTTAAGTCTAGTATTTCAATTTAACAGTTTAGCAAATTTTCTGTGCAATTCCGTAAAATATTCATTTCTTTCATATAGAAATAATAGAGTCTCCCCCTCCCCCCACCTTACCCTGCTCTGAATCACTGAGTAAAACCTATGCATGGCGAAGATATGTCATGTTTTATCTCATGACTTTGATTGCATCCTTGTATCCTGTCACAAAGCAGGGGAAGGGGAAAGACACAGAACCAAGTTTCAGGAGGCCTGGACTCTTCTACGCCAGTTCGACATTTATTTTTTAATTTTCTTTGCACTCTACTTATTTCCAAGAGGAGTTTTGGAGTTGCTGTAAGACTTTTAGAAAATATAAATGATCTGTGCCTTGATTTCCTTATTTCTAAAAACAAAGAAGTTACTCTACATGATCTCTATATTCCCTTCTTATCGATTAAGAGTCTACCCACTTTTGGTCCAAGCAAAATGTTAACAGGGCTAGTGGATGGTGGTACCAAATGTATACTGGTAACCGATCAATTAACATTTTGGAAAAAATGGAATATTCAGCTAAGATTTGAGTCATGATGGAAACCTTGAATTTAAAAAAAACTAACCTTGGGAGATTATTAGAACTTAGAATCCACATATTTGACATGTGCTGTAAAAAGAGGTTATTTCTTGAGAAGTAGAATTGCAACTTTCTGCTGAAAAAATATCAATCCTCCAAGGCATCCTCAGTAAGCCCACAGGCAAACTCCCACCTCAGCAGACTGAATAATTTGCCTATAAAATATCACGTTGAATTTGGGAGGCTGAATATGGTGGGAAAAGTTTCATGTAGGAGAGGACCTGCCCTGGAGATGCTCGCTGAGGTGGCAAAGGCAACTGGACTCTCAAAGTAGTCCTCCGTTTAACAACATCCCTTTCTCAGGTACTTCTCTCATCTGCCCGATTACTTTTTTTTTTAAAGCCTGACAGGAATGATGCTTCCAGATTCTGAGATGGTAACAATGATCTAAATAGACTGTCATCATTTATCAGCATTCACAAAGAGAAAACAGCTATGAATTTCCAGTGGGAAAAAAAACTTTAGAATCAAAAAAGCAAAAGGTACATAATGCTGTATCCAGTGAAAACTTATAAAAGTGTAATGTTCGCTTTAAACACAATACACCACCCTGAGAGGGTTGCCTTCAGTAAGGAATTGTTTTCCTCTGGGAAGGAAATCACTGGCAATACCAAATCTATAAGGAGTGCCTTAGAAACTTGGCTGCACCAAGGGCCGTGTAGTTTTGGGAAAACTCAGCCTGTTTTCTTTGTCTCTAGACATTTTTTAGACTTGATAATCCCTCACATGGGTGTTGGGGTGTCTTCAAGGTCTCCAACTCTGTGCTGTACTTCGATCAGCAAATGCTTGGGGAGAATTTCTGTTTTGATTGCATCTGCCATTTGCCTCCACAAATTAGACTTTTTTAAATAAAATGTAATCCTTTTTTGCTGAGACAAGGATGAACACAATTTATTTTGAAAAGATACATAAAATGTATTATAAAAGACACAATGTGCAAACCAGAAATTGAAAACTAAAAACGAACATCACCTACACAGAAAATTCTAAGTTCTTAAACCAGTTGGTTGAACGACCTTGGGCAAGTTGTTTAACTTCTTTGAATCAATTTCTTCTTTATCTGTAAAATAAATACTTATAATCGTTTCAAGAAAGTTTATTGACTAGAATCCCTGGAGCCATTCAAACAGATTCATATTAGCCCTCAGCGTGGCTAATGGCTTCATCTCAATTCTAAGTGCGGCACATACTTTCTTGAAAGTATTGTTAAGTATTTATTTTATAGATGAAAACTGGTTAAAAACTACACAGTAGCTGCATACTGTAATGGATTCTGAAAAGGCCTAGTTCAAACTCTGACCTTCTATAAATAACATTGTGGCCTGCCATATGAAAAGACAGTATTGCTAGTGTCCTGTTGCTGCATGGGTGATGAAATTAGGACACGGACCATGAATGAGTTGCCTGATTCTGAATCAGACTATCAGGCAGTACAGAAGGATGCCTTCCTCTAAGAGTTCATTATTTCCTATTAGAATGCTGTGTGTGCTGCACATAGAATTGAGGTGGAGCCCTTAGCCACACTGATGGCTAATTTGAACCTGTTTGAATGGCTCCAGGGATTCCAGCCAATAAACAGAAACTTGTCTGTTCATCTGTACATTCCTCTCAAATTGGTTGAAATAAATCCTCAACACTTGATGTTTCTGACCTGGTTCACAGATACTCAGGAGCAGCCTGTGGTATAGCATTATGAGAAATTTTCCAGTCTGTTGAGTAGAAGTAATCCAATCCTGTCACTGTTTGTGGTAGAAAGGAGAGAGAATATAGAGATGAGATCCAAGAAAACAAGAAAAGTTCTGAGGCCTAGAAGAAGTGGAATTCTGTGGCAAAAAGTCTGGAGAAACTGAATTTGAGTTTATGGAAAAAGCCAAAAGACAGAACATCCTGGAGAATAGAGCCACTCTTTGACTGGAAGCTTGGAGGATGATTGTGAGTAGAATGGCCTATGTCTAATTCTACATGCAGGAGGATGGAGCAGGTGGGGCCGTTTCAGGGCCAGGAAAGGGTCTCCCTTCTACTGGACTGGGATGAAACAAGAGCCAAGGAACAAATTGAGTTGCAGTAGCAGATAGAGGAGGTCCAGTCTGAGGGTAAAGCATGGTGTCCAAGTAGCATTCAGCAATGGCAGAGCATAAAGTAGATAGTTCCAACTGGTAGCCCAAGATAAAGAAGCATTCAAATGTATGCCTGTGGATGGTGTTCCCTTCCCACAAGGCACAGAGGATTCTGGGTCAGGCATCACTCAGAGTTCCAGAGGGAAGGGTATACATCTGTCAATGCATAGCAGGTCTCAGTTATTCAGCCCAAAGCAAACCATTGGCTAAAACCTTTGATAAAAAGAAATGTGACATGTAGCATGGAGGGTGGGGCAAGACTGAGGCTCAGGAATGGGACAGGGCCTGTCAGAATTACCAGAAGTGAGGCAGCACCACAAGACTAGATCAGCAGCAAGAGTTATTTGAGGTGCAGTCACAAAAGGTGAGTTAGAATTTAAATACATGCCACTTTGGGTCTGATTTGGTCTTAAGTGTGTAGGCCAAGGCTCAGTCTTGAGGTAGAGCATGATCTCATTTGTGGTAAGTTGAGAGTATGCTGAAATTCAGCATGAAAATGGAGATCAGAGATCCTCCACCTTGCTGTCAGTCTAGACAGAGACTGAAAAACTGGGTTAAAACTTTAAAGTCTTTATATCTTGGATATGGAGATAAACAAGGTAATACTGCCTGGATAAATAGGGGAAGAAGCTATCAAAATGGTATTGATCTTTCCATTTAAGACTATCTATTACCATTCATCTCTTCAACATTTGAAAAGATGTTCAGTATAACATTGGGATTTTAAGTGATGATTGTATCAAAAAATGATAAGTTTAAAACATTTTAAACTTATCAGTGCACAAGAACGGGATGAATGCTTATCCAGTATTTCTTTCTGTATTTATTATTTGAGTAAATCATGAGTAATAGGTTGGTCCCTTATTTAAAATTTTAGTTATGGTCAATTTTAAGAGGAACACAATAATCTTTTTTTTTGTCTTCTGTACAGTTATATCAATTTTAGCAGTTTGGTGTCTAGTTTTACCAATGCTATTTTATGATCTTTGCCATTTGCCATGGTACAATGTGTTTAAATGGCACATCAAGGTATACTGATGGTTGCCATTTGCTTAATAACTTAAAAGTAATCCAGCAATTTCTTCCACTTTTATTTCTTAACATATGATTTTGTTTTGTGAAACATGAAAGATGAGTCTTATATTTAGGAACCATTTGGTTGGGAAGCTGGGAGAGTAAAATTTAATTGATTTTTTTTCTTCTGCAGCTCTTGAAGAAATAGCATGTGAATCCAGATTAGGTGGCATCATGTATATTTTTGTAAAAGGAATTTTTACTTGCTTAGGCTGAATTCATCCTTATAAGCCTCCCTCAGCCATCCTTAATTCCTCCCTTTCTCTCACTCCTGAAGTCAAGGATTACTATGTTTTATTCCTTTTTCTGCTGCAATATCCCGGACTCTTCTCTGTCCATCACTATAGCCACATCAGCTAATAAGCTCCTCTTCCTGTGTCCTTCTTCCCTCTCTACTCATCCTCTATAGTGCCATCAAAGTCAGAGTATTAATAAACAAATCCTGACATGTCAGTGTGCTTACTCCCCACATTTTGAACGGATTAAGTTCAAATGCCTCACAGGATGGCATTTGAGGTGCTGATCCTAATTTATCTTTCTAACCTTGTTTCTTGCCTCTTTCTTCCATTCCTCACATGCAAACACTGAACTCCAGTAACACCACTTTGTCTTCTCAACATACTCTGCACTATTGTGTCTTCATGCCCCTTGGTACATGCTATTTCCTCTGCCCAGATATTCTTCCTGGGCTTCTGTACCTGTTGACCCCTTCAACTCATCCTTTAAGGACTGGTTCAAAGACCACTTCTGTGACATCATCCCTGATTCCCACAGAGTTAAACAAGACTTCTATGACACGCCACAGCATCTGAAATACATCTGTGCTGGAAACTTCTACTATATTGCCTTGTAATGATTTGTTAGTGAACCTCTCTCTTCCACTTGGTCTGTAGCTCCAGAAAACCAGTGGCTGTTTGTTGCCTACTCGTCTTTGCTTTATTCTTCCTTCTGCCTGTCCACCTGCTCTCCCAACATCCAGGGGCCAGGACAGTCCCTGGCACACAATGAACACCCAACAAACACTTGGTTTAAGCAATGAATTATTATCTTGCACGAGATTTCATGAGTCTCTTTAGTTTTGCTTTCTTAACTTACTTAATGCTTATTAAGATGACTTTTCACTTTCAGTTCTTCCTGTTTGATTCCAGTTCTTAGTCATGTCTTCCCCTTGGCACAAAACTGATTGAGCAATATATGCTGAAGCCTCACTCTTCAAATTTCATGACAAAGTCTGAGGGTCCCAGGACTTTGGCCAAGCACAAATAGTAAGTGTCTGGGAGGCATCAACTAAATTATCTGCCAGTGAAAATGCTCTGTCTTCTTTGTCTCAGTTGTTTATGCAGAACAACCAACCGTTCCTGTAAAGTTATTTTTCCTAATTTTTAGCCTAAACTTTTCAATAGATACAGGCCATTTCTCCCTGTCTCCTCCTATCTCCTCATCTTCTGAGACTGTAAATTATCCTGTAACTTCATTTATAATGGGAACATATTTATTTTCTGTGATGATGGCTCCCCTGAGCCTTTCTTTTTCTTAGCTACATAAAGTTAACTTCCTCTGTGGCAAATTAAGGACAGATTACAAGCAGCCTGGGAACCGGGCTCCGTCACCACAGGGGGCCGCCTACTCAGCCTCCTTCTGTTCAGCCATGGGAAAGATGCAGCTGCTAAGCCAGCCGGGTGCTGGGCTGCTCTCCCCCTGCCTCTCCTGATCCCTCGGAGGGAGTTGAGAAGTCCCTTTCTCCATCAGTCTCTGGTTGGTGTCTGATGCTCTGTTTTCTAGCCTCTCTTCTTCTGCTCCTCCCCTCCCCCAGCTGCCTACCAACTCCTTCCCACCCCCAGGCCAGCAGTGACTGCCTCCAAGACTCCCCCTCCTTCCAGCACCGCCTCATGGTTTCCATGGCAACAGAAAATGTTGGTGGGAAGCAAAAATGCTGAACTGCAACTCGTGTTGGGGCTGGGAGGAGGAGGTGAAATGTGGGCCTCTCTGGAGGCTGTAGAAAGGTGGGGAGAAAGAAGCCAGGTGAGAAGCCCTGAGAAGAAAGGACCACGAGGCTCGAAAGGAAGGTGCATTGGCAAGCGGGGATCACTTTGATCAGAAAAATCAGCTAGGAGGAAGAAATAGGAAAGAGTTATAAAAAGTAATAGAGAATCCTGGGCCGGGTGAAGTGGCTCACACCTGTAATCCCAGAACTTTGGGAGGCTGAGATGAGAGGACTGCTTGAGCCCAGGAGTTTGAGACCGGCTTAGACAACATAGCGAGACCTTGTCCCCGCCTTCAAAAAAAAAAAAAAGTAATGAAGAATCCTATATATAGTGGTTGATTGAGGGATTACGTTAGGTATAAAACTGGGAATAGGTGACTTTATATTGAAGGTGAGTAGTGAAAGTCAACAAACATAGTGGCCAAAAAAAGGGGGGCTTGAGAGTTTAACAATAATATACATACATGAAAAACAAAAGTAATATTAACAGATCTGGGCTTGTAAATTAACTATTGTCCTTACTTATCAGCCAAGTGTTACTTATCTTCTCTGAGCCTTAGTCTTCTTTTTGCTTGTCTATTAATATAGTGTTATCAATATCCACCTCAAAAAGTTGTTGTGAGGATCAAGTTTAAATAAAGCACATAAAGTGGCCACTCATATAGCAGGTAAGGTAGGAATTTTTCTTTTAACCATTGTATGAGGTTGAGGAATGGTACTTCAAATGGGTCTTGGAGCTGGAAACTTAAAATTCATTGAAAACTGTGCCTTGTCATATATTTGATTTTTGTATTTATTTCAATTTTCCATATCTCTTAAGTATATGGCAACATGGTTTTTTTTTTTCTTTTTTTTCTTTTTCTTTCTTTCTTTTTTTTTTTTTGAGACAGAGTATTGCTCTGTCGCCCAGGCTGGAGTACAGTGGTGCGATCTCGGCTCACTGCAACCTCTGCCTCCCAGGTTCAAGCAATTCTTCCGCCTCAGCCTCCCAAGTAGCTGGGATTACAGGAACATGCCACCACGCCCAGCTATTTTTTTGTATTTTTAGTAGAGACAGGGTTTCACCATGTTGGTCAGGCTGGTCTCAAACTCCTGACCTCAGGTGATCCACCTGCCTCGGCCTCCCAAAGTGCTGGGATTACAGGCGTGAGCCACCATGCCCAGCCAGCATCATGTGACTACGTCCCTAAGTACATAGTACCATGGCAATATTTAGTGTTAACCCCTTCATAAAAAATAAGAAGAACCATCCTTTCCTTTTAAATAACCTCCCTGTCTGTGCTTTTCAAGAAGCCTGTGGTGTTGACTCATTCTCTCTCCTTTACAGCCACAATATTGTTGGCATCATAACTTCTCATTTCTTTTCTCTCTCTTCAGTGAAAGGGGTTGCTGCAGAAATTATGTTCTAAACCCACAATCATGTTTATAATGGTCCACGAATATTTTTTGACTGAATGTCTGTGTCATCACTTCCTTCAGAAGTCCAAGGCAAGAAAAGCTAAGAAGTTGTGGCCCAACTAGAGATGCCCATAAGCCTATTTACTCCGGGCTGTCTCTTTGCAATCTTAGAAGATGTCAAGTTACTGCAGAGGCTCTACTTCATGCCTCCTTTTCCTGAAATTGGGACAATAATAGCAACGATGATAACTAGCGCCTGAACTTGTTGTTCCAAAGTGCCTGACATGAATGGAATCATATAAACTTCAACTCAACCCAATGGAATTAGCATGTTGTTACCGTGACGGTTTCCACATGTGGAAACTGAAGCACAGAGACATTAAGTAATTTTCTTAAGGTAATATACCTCGTAAGTTTCAGGGCTGGAATTTGAATCTAGGCAGAATCTACCTCCTTAATCATCTCCACTGTGCTACCCTCTAGGGAAGAAATATCTGGAACTGTGGCTTGATGATATTACTACTGCTTTTTATAGACAACGATTTTTTTCCTCACTTGGTATCATCTAATGAATAAAGAAGGAACGTGTTACTGTACTTCTATTTCAAGATGTGTACTGAGCCCATTGGTTTATCTTTTTTCTCCTCTTAGATCCCAGTAAAAAAAGCTAAAAAAAGAATTCATGATCTAACAATAATGAGGATAATTGGAGAAAAGCTATATGGATCTGGGAGATTTCAATAAATTTCCAGAAGTCAGAAAGAGCGTGGAAAGATGATGCAGTGGGGCAGAGGTAGCTTTGGGCTAGTGTGTTTGCAGAGGGTCCTGAATCAAAAAAAGAGCCCAAGTTGCCCATCAGAACCTCGGAAGTTTCAGTCTGAGAGAATGGAGATGGGATGGAGGAGGAGATAGAGAAGTGAGTAGAAAATGAGGATGAATTTAAAGGTCTGTGTATTGAACAGCTGCCCACCTGCCTGTAACACACATATCCCCACCCCAATCTCTCTTTCTCTCTCTGTTTCTCTCTGTCTCTATCCCTTTCTGTCTCTCTCTCTCTCTCTCACACACACACACACACACACACACACACACACACACACACACACACACACACACCAGGCATTTACCCTCCATTCTCAGGTCAAAAAGGAAGTAAGGCTAACTCTCTAAAGACATTTTAAAAAGCCTTTCTGGGGAGAGCTGGAGCAACTAGTACAGTGGTGTTTGGGACACCCTGATCATTATAGGGACATTCTGCTCACCACAACACAAAACCTGGAAATTAAAAAAAAATGCACACAGAATTTCCAGTTTGCTTTTCCATTGCCTCTTCCTGAAATATGAACAGAAAATCACAAACTACAGTCATTAGAGGATAGCTTTTAGCACGAGCGACAAAGATCAAATGGGAAATAATGCACAGCAGAAAAACTAACTCAAAAGACAATTCCAATAATCTCAATATAAAAATAACTAACCTCTAACTGGTGTTTCTAACAGGTTCAAAACAATACATCAGAGGAAAAAGAAAAGGGTGCCAAAAAAGGAATAGAGAAAAAGAGCCTTGAGAAATTGAAAATATTATTGCCAAAATTTTAAAAATCTATTTAAACATTGAAAGCAATCTCCTAGAGTGTAAGATGAAAATACAAAGAGTTGGTAAATGTGAGCACAAGGATAAAAGACATGGAGGAATGATGGAAGAAATCCAACACCTGCCTAGGAAGATTTCACAAAAAAGGCAATTGAAACGAAGAGATAGATAGAAATGATCAAAGAAATAATAGAAGGGAATTTCCCAAAATGTACCTTTATATTTAAAGTGCCTACCAAGTGTGGAACAGGATGAAAAAGACACCCACTCAGTCACATCTTAGTGACACATCAGGACACTGAGGATAAAGAGAAGATCCTGAAACTTCCAGAGAGGGAGAAAGGTCACCGATAAAAGAAACAACGTCAGACTCCTCATCAAACACATCAAACACTGTAAGACAAGAGAGCATTGTCTTCCATACTCAGAAAAATTACATCCGGCCTTGAATGACATACTAAGCCACGCTATTAATCAACCACAGGGGCAGAATATGGGCATTTTTAGATTCACAAAGGGTTAGAAATTAATCTTTCATGTATTTCTCAGCTGTTTCTTTTATAAACAGTTATTTGAATGTGTGCTCTGGCAATATGAAAAATGACACAGGGAGGAAAGCATCCAAGAAACAGTGGATTCAATGGAGGACTGCAATGAAGAGAGTCCCAAAATGATGAATGTGTGGCAGTCTCAGAGAACAGGTCCAGCTTCGGACAGGAAGACTAAGGATTAATGTGTGGCAGTCTCAGAGAACAGCCCAGCTTCGGACAGGAAGACTAAGGAGATGGGTCCCAGGAAAAATGTAGATCAGAAAAACAGATAGTATGATGGAGACTATGAAAATCTTAAGGATAAAGTAAAGATAGGAAATGCAAGATGAAGGAAAAGTAATCAGAGATGACAGGAAAGATTAAACAGGGTTAAAGATTAAACAAGATTAAAAAAGGTAAGTTCTAGGATAACTCTAATGTTCCCAGTAACTGTGCAAATGGGTGTAACCATCATTATCATGGGTGCCCTGCCTCTCAGGACCCAGGTATGGGGTTTTCATTCTTGATACGGCTTCCCACACCCCACGAGTTGGCATAGAAGCAGAGAAATACTTTCAGGTCCCAATGCAAGCTTGGATGCTGAGGACTTCAGCAGGGACCACCATACAGTACAGATTTCCCTGTGTGCCTGGCAGCACTAAGGTCTCTAGTATTATGGGGTGACAACAGGAGAAGCCAATCCAGATGGCAATGGAATTTCATGCTGGCTTTGCCATGGAGTAAAAACTAAGTTGACTTGAAACACACACACAAAAAAATTATATTTTGTCGCACTTGAATTTGTGGGCTAAGATTCAGTTTGCAACTGTAGTGTGGGTAGAGGAATTAGGAGAGAGAAGAGATGATAGTATTGACAATGTAAATCCTCATCTCTCACATCAGAATGTCAGTAAATAATATCTAAAGTTGATAAAGCCAAAATTAAGGGCATTTGCATGTTATATGGAGATAACCACCAGAAGGACTAAGCACAGAAATATTGAAAGTATTTGCTTTTGGAGAGTGGGGCTGGGAACAGGGAGAAGAATGCAGGAAATGGTTTGTATTAAAGTTTTATTTGTATATTTGTTTGAATGCTTGAAAATTATATATGTATTATTTCATTTTTTTTAAAGTGTGCTCCTTTCTGTCAATTTTACTCTCCTTGCTACAGTGTAGTTAAGTTGTCCTTGGCATCATTGTTCCTGTGTCTATGTAGACCACCTGTTTTGGAAGAAGGTGAGGTTATCAATCAAACGGCTAACCAGTCACAGGCATCTACTCATTCACTTGCTAAGCTCCTTCCTCATTCTCGTTTCCAAGAGTGCTTTCAAGGACACAAGAGAAGACCCTATTTAGTGCTGTCATTGTCTTGGTTGTGCGGTAACAGGAAGCAGAGAAGCCTTAATTTTTAGCATCTAGACTTCAGCTCCAAATACTGCCATTGAAATGGGAAGCTCTGATTACAGCTTCTAAAGTGCACTGTTTTCTCTGTGCTACAGAACTGTCTTCTGAATTAGTATCAATAAAACGCTTTCTAACAGGATCTTTGACACCAGAAGTCACCACTGATGCCAATGTAATTACCATCCCTGGACGCTAGGCCTTGTCAGGCAGCACAGATAATCACCTACAACCAGGGGCCAACGATTACCCAGTCAGTCAACGACATTGACTGCTCACTGGGAGGTTCTGCACGAGTAAGAGAGAGGAGAACTGCAATGTCCTTTCCTCAAAGTACTTCAAACTAAACAGGGCTGAGGGTGTGGAGGGGAAGGAAAGCAGAGATTCACACACATCAAAAGACAGAAATAAACAAACCTATCCATTCTCAGTTACACAGAGAGGGCTGTGGAGATCTGAGTTGGCGCAGAATAAAAATGGACTTTTGCATCGCCTGGCCCCTGTTTGGTAAAAACCTCCTTGGTTTTATGTATTTCCTCTTTTCATTTTTTTTAAATGGTGTTATGTATTTCCTCTTTTCATTTCTTCCCCTGCCCACTAACTGGGCTCAACTACTGAATAACCCCTGTGTGCCATGCTTTTTCTGTGCTTCCATACTAATTATATGCTGTTCCGCTTGCCTGAAAGCTGTTCCTATCACTCAGCCCTTTCAGCTTGCAAATTTTTCTAATCTATCAAGAGGTAAACCTGACCTCTTCTGTGGAGCCTTGCCTGATTCACTCCATTTTAATTCCAATCAGTTACAGTGCTGTGAGCTTTGTGAGAGGAGGGACAGAGTATATTATCATTTGAAAATAATTAAAATTGTTAATAGATGTAAAACACTTAGAATAGTGGTGCCTGAAATGTAAGCAAATGTGTTTATTATTATTATTATTAGCATCATTACTATGATCAATGTTTGTATTTAGAAGCCCTAGCATAACATCTGGCATATGAAAGTGGAAACTAAGCAAATGTTTCTTTGTTTGAATTCTTGGAACATTTCAGACAAACTGAGTTTTATTGATGAGAAGGTTGATGGGTTTTCTTGGCAGTGGTCATTATTCCAAGGTGAAAGTGAGGATTATTGCTTTAGCTATTGCAACTGAGAACACAGAATATCTTTTAAGAAGCAGAAGCTCTAATAGGTGAATAAATCATTTTGGAGGATAGGAGGATATTCCAGATGATATGAAACTATTGAAAACAGATTTGCTGTTGGTTTTCAGAAAATGTACTAGCCCTCAGGAAGATGGGCTTGTTTGGAGAGATACCTAATGTAACACAAATAACTTCATTTTCTTCAGCATTATCTGGAATAGATGGTTAATTAGTCTCAGACAGCTGTTTCCATACTCACCCGCCTTTGCTGTCTGTGTGATGTGCACGTGTGTGCTGTCATCTGGGTGAGCCTATCTGGGCACAGTGACGGGTCATTAAGCTGTCTTCTCATATGGTGCATGTATAGTGTCTGAAGCACAGTTTCAGGAGACAGGTAACACTTCCACTCAGAGAGGCATTACATGACCCCTAGGGTTGTCAATAGATCCGTAGCTCTTTTGCTCTTCAAACACTACATGCATTTTGACATCTCACCATCTTTGTTCATTGTTCCATTCACTGTTATGTCCTTCACCCCGTTCTTTACTGCTTACATAAATACACTCAAGCCCACTTCCTCCAGAGATTTCACCATCACTCCAGCTCATAGATATCTCTTCCATCTCCATCATATTCAGCTTGCTTTCTTCTTTCTTTGTCTCTCCCTTTCTCCCTTTCTCTCTTTCTTTTTCTTTCTCTCTCTTTTTTCTTTTTCTCTCTGTCTCCCTCCCTCCCTCCCTCAACCTCTCTCTCTCTATTTTTCTGAAACAGAGTTTCACTCAGTTTCCCAGGCTAGAATGCAGTGGTGTGCTCAGAGTTCACTGAAGCCTTGAACTCTTGAGCTTAAGCAATCCTTGCGCCTCAGCCTCTCAAGCTGCTGGGACTATAGGCCACCATGCCCAGCTAATCAATCTTTCTTTCTTTCTTTCTTTTTCTCTTTGTTTTTCTTTCCTTCCTTCCTTCTCTTTCTTTCCTTCCTTCCTTCTCTCTTTCTTTCTTCTTCCTCTCTTTCCTTTCCTTTCTTCCTTCTTTCTTCTCTTTCTCTCTCTCTCCTTCTCCCCTTCTCTCCTTTCTCTCTTTCCCTACCTTCCCTCCCTCCCTCCCTCCCTCCCTCCCTCCCTCCCTCCTTTCTTTCTTTCTTTCTTTCTTTCTTTCTTTCTTTCTTTCTTTCTTTCTTTCTTTCTTTTTCTTTCTTTCTTTCTTTCAAGATAGGAGTCTCACTGTGTTGCTCAGACTGGTCTTCAACTCCTGGTCTCAGGCAATGCTCCTGATTCAGCCTTCCAAACTGGCTGGGATTACAGGTGCAAGCCACTGTGCGCAGCCAGTCATAGATTTCTAACACTAATTTCTCCAATAGTTACATTTTATATTGTGAAAACACTTACATTGTTGGCTTTTATTAACATTTGAATGTGATTTGCTATTTGCTGTTAAGTATGCTAGTCTTAGCTCCCTGAGTAGACTGTTGGATCTTTAAGCAGATGCTGTACTATGGCTCTTTGTAGTTTCTACCACATTTAGCACAGTTAGATGAGTATATAGGTACTTAATAGGTGTTCCCTTAGGAATGAATGGATAACCCTCCTGGGATCCATTCAAAAGGATTCTCCTGAGAACTCCTTAACAAAGGCTTATCTACTTTCTAGTTTAGACTGTCAACACATGCTAAAGGATAAAAGATGCAGATTTGAAACACATAGATTTACATTTTAAAATGCTGTGGCATATTTGTTAATATACTTCACAGTCTGAATGCAAGTTTAGGTTAGTTACCCTTGAGGACAAAGCTACTAGACTCTCGAGGATTCAAATAGTCTCATAAAAATCATCACAATGTTATCATTGGTAGTTAAGGGAACATTTTATAATAAGTGGGTGTCTTTGAGCATGTTTCCTAGGGAAAGTGCTAAGTGCAATCTAGTCCATGGAAGTCCCACAGTACTCTGCGAACAACCTGCACTACTTCATGGCCACTTCACCTGAATGGCTCAGTTCTTTGAGTGTCCATGTAGTCAACTAATCAGTCTGTGGTGAGTAAGAGTAAATTAAGGTGACTAACTTTCCAAAGTCCTTTAAAGTTATTTGATTTAAGGTCGCTGAGCTAGGTGGTTTATGGATATTTCAGTATTCCTGGAATAATTCATGTAAGCTTTTTCCTTGTATCCAATATATTATGAGGGTAAGAGCAATGAAGCCCTGTGCCAATTTCTCCATTTCACTGGCTAATCAGTAATTCTAACATTGTTTGCCAGCTAAATGGAACAGGCACTCTTGTCACCATCATGATTCATTGCCTACTGAAAGCACAGAGCTGGCCTTAATCTAATTCTTAATAAAACCTTGCGAACTAGGTATACTGTCTCAATTTGCACACGGAAAACAGATGTTCACGAAGGTTGAGGGACTGGCCCACGATCTCACACCAAGTAGGTAAAGAACCATGGAAGCAATTCTGTGCCTTAAAGTGCAATTGTCTTTCTAATTCCTGTGGAGCATGATTGTCTTTTCCATGCTGAATCTAATGATTACAAATATCAAATGAGCCCTAAGCATGGCCCTGTAATCCTACTCCATTCTCCTAGTAAACTCTCCTTCCCACTCTCTGAAACAACTTTTTAATATCTTCTCTATCCTTATATCTTCTACATCCTTACAGCATTATTCACTAGAAAACAGAAACCATCAGAAGAAACATATTTCCATATTCTCAATGCCTCATATACCAGTCATGATGGTACCCACTCTCTCTGTCTTCCCTCCTGTTATCACAGGAATGTCCCCATTAGCAACCAACTCTCCACTTGGCTCTGGATCCCAACCTCTCTCATCTTTATTCTTTCCATCCTTCTTTCTTTTCCAATATCAATACCTCTTTTTCTACCTAATCATTCCTTTCAGTAGCCAAACATGACTCCAGTCTCTCCTGTTTTAAAAAATTCTTCCCTTTGCCCCACAAGTCACCCTTTAGCTATTAGTGTATTTCCGTACTCCCATTATCAGAAAAACTTCTTTTGACAGTTGTCTACTACTTCTTCTATCCAATGCAACATGGCTTCCGTGGCTCTCATTTCACAGAATGTGCTCTTGTTAAGTTCTCCAGGAGCCTCTGTGTTGCCAAATTCAGTGGCTACTTCTCTAGTCTCATTTCTTTTTTTTTTTTTCACCTTCAACTTTTATTTTAAGTTCCTAGGGTATATGTATAGGATGTGCAGGTTTGTTACATAGGTAAATGTATGTCTTGGTGGTTTGCTGCACAGATCAACCAATCACCCAGGTATTAAGCCCAGCATACCTTAACTATTCTTCCTGATGCTCTCCCTCCCCCAACCCCCACCCCTGATAGGCCCCAGTGTGTGTTGTTCCCCACCATGTGTCCATGTGTTCTCATCATTCAGCTCCCATTTATAAATGAGAACGGGCAGTGTTTGGTTTTCTGTTCCTGTGTTAGTTTGCTGAGGATAATGGCTTCCAGCTCAATCCACATCCCTGCGGAGAACATGTTATCATACCTTTTCATGGCTGCATAGTATTCTATGGAGTATATGTACTACATTTTCTTTTTCCAGTCTATCATTGATAGGCATTTCGGTTGATTCTCATTTGATCTCTCATCAGCATTCTACCTAACTGATAACTTTCCCATGGAGCAAGTTTTTCCCATGGAGCAAGCTTTCCCATGGAGCAAGCTTTTGGTAGCATTCTACCTGATAACTTTCCCATGGAGCAAGCTTTCTAAACACTTTGAGTTTGAGGGGTCAGTAGAATATATAGGAGGTAGAAAACTTTGCTTCTGTTGAGTATCGGTGAAGTAACCTAAGGTGAAAGTGCAGAGTGAGAAGAGAAGAGACTCAAGGGCTAAGCCTGAGGGTACAGGCGGAAGCAGGGAGGGCTACAAGGAAGACTGAGAAGGTAGGAGGAGATAACAGAGACAAGGTTAGAAGTCAAGGACAAAAAGAGTTGTCATAAAAAAAAAAAAGTGGTCAGAATCAAAGGCCAGAGAAAGATCGGGTAAACAGGGACTAGTAAAAGTATATTGTCTTTGGCAATTGAGAGTTTATTGGTTGCCATTTATAAATAATTTCAGGATGATGACAGAGGCTGATGGTATTAAGGCCTGATTGTATTTTTCTGAAGAGCAAACCAGCAAGTGTAGGCATTATTTTGGGAGGCTTGGTTATGAAGGGAAGAAGAGTAAGTGGATAGTGTCTAGAGCAGAATAAGAATTGAGGAAGGTTTTGAAAAAAAATCAGGTTATATCTGAGTTTGCTCAGAGAGGGTAGAGAAGAAGGCTTCCCTAATATCACAGCATTATGCAAGAACTAAAAATAGAATCTATTTCTTCTGCCTCCAAGATAATTGAGATAATACATGTGTAAGAGTTTAAAAAACTATAAAGTACAATAAGAATTTGATATAGTGTTCTTCTTTCCACTATATTACAATTAATTACCAGGAAGTCAATGGATTGCATTTTTAACTATATAACACACCCTTTACCCCACTCCCTGCAACAAGAACCTCACTGCTATTTATTCAGCAGTTCTTAAATGATTGATTTGTTGTGGATGATCTTTTGCTTGCTTCCTTTTGAAACAGTGAGGGATTTCTGGATGTTTGCCAGCCTGAATATTCCTGTTTACTTGTCTTAGGCTAACAGATAACTGGATGGGCCATATTGTTATACAGGCCTGATGAATGCCAAATGTTCAGCTCTATCTCTACAGGATTACACCTTTCTGAAAAAAGAATGTATAATATAACTTCTGTCAAATAAACTTGAGATACATTTGTTTCTAGTCCTCAGATTTCAAGATCTCCCTTAAGACTTTGGAAGGACAAGCCTAATTCTCTTTGCCAGGCATGAAACCAGACATTAGCTTATAAACTCAAGATGTTCCATAATTCTTTCAATATGAATTCTAATTATCTTTGCTCCTTCTAAGAGAAGGTAAAAGTATAACAATGTGAAATCTAATTCTATGGACTCAAGGGGCAGAAATCAGTGACCTGATATTCAGAGGCCTATATTAATTATCCATTTTATTTTTCTCACCTCTGTAATTTGTAAGTAGAGTTGCAAGGGCTCTTGTTCTTCAGTTACTATTTTAGATCATACACTCTCAAATGAATGGATAGTTCTCAATGCCTGCGATGCGCTTGATTCACACAGACTAGCCTAGGTTGTCTGAAATGAAGTCAGGGAGACGCATGCAATGACCTGTAAGGTGTTGTTTCTGTGTCTTTGTAGCCTGAGTTTTCTTGTGGATAAAAATCTATAGCCTTTTATTATGACAGCTCATTACACCACAGAAAAAACTAAACTGAAAGATAGATCATGTCTTCCATGATCACTGCTACTGTTTGATGTGGTGTCTCCTGCATGAATGAAATGACTGCCACTCAGAAGGTCTCATGGTCTGAGAACAAACTTGACCTGGAAATTCATCTGTATTTTTACAACCCTGTGTATGGTGAGAAAGTTTCCTTAGTCTAGACTGCTTAATATCTGTATAAGGCCATTTTTTTCTTCTCTCTCACCTCTCTTGTTGATACTCCTCTGAATCATCATCCACCCAAGATCAAGGAATGCTCACGCTACTTTTGTTTGTCCAGGGCTCAGATCTTTCTCAGCTCACTCAGATATGTTGCCCCAGTATCTCTTATTGAAAACTTTTCCCTATGGACTCAGATTGACCTCAGTTTAAATCTTCAGTGCTTTGGACCATATATTTAGTCTTTCTATAACTAAGTTTTGCCCTTGTAAAACTGGAATAATACTACATACTGTGTAACATTTGTGAGGGGGTAAAGATAATGTATGTGATAATCATATAACAAGTTCTTGATAAACAATAGTTATATTATTAAATTGGCTATATTTTTTTTCTTTCTATAAAACATTACTTGCCTAATCATCAATTTCCTTGGAGTGCTTCTATCAGGTAGTTATCAAGTGTAAGGATGGAACCCAAATAAATATTTCTTGTAAGTGTGATTTATTTAGGTACTGGAAGAGGCTGCAAAATAAAATGGAAAGAGTGTAGGGCTAGAAAGGTGACAAGTTCCTGGTTCTGGTGTTGCCAGTTCTCATATTAAATAGCAGTGTTATCTGTATATGATTACCCATCTATGAAAAACTCTAAGTTATTAGAAAGATTGAATTCATCATTGATGAAAGAGATCCTTCAGGCATCTGGAATCTTATGTAAACCTCACGTAGACTGAGTTTAATTCAATTAAATAACTATTTATTGAATGATCATTATGGACTGTGCTTGGCAATGTGGGGGATAATAAACAAAGGCTACACATATACACACATTTATTGAGAACTGTTATGAGTTGAATTGTGTCACCCCAAATTTATATGTTGGAGTTCTAACCCCTAGTAGATATGTGGATATAGATACACATCCTAGTAGATATAGTAGGATGTGGCCTTATTTGGAGATAGGGTCTTTACAGACATAATCAAGTTAAAATGAGGTCATTAGGGTGGGCCCTAATCAAATATGACTGGTGCATATTCGACATGCACAGAGGAAGAGATTTGAAACACAAGGAGAAGGTGACCAAGGAGATAGGTCCAGAATGGCTCCTTCCCTTATAGCCCTCAGAGGAACCAACCCTGCTGGCACTTTGGTCTCAGACTTCTGGCCTCCAGAACTGTGAGACAATAAATTTCTCTTGTTTCAGCCACCTAGTTTGTGGTTCTTTGTTGTGGCAGCCATAGCAAACTGATATGAAGACCTACTATGTGCTAGTAACTGGGAAACTAACACTGAACAGGGCACTGTTATTTGTTTCAGGGGAAGAAGTTTGGAAAAGAAGCAGATACTTCAGTCCCATGTAATAAACCTGCTCCAAGAGAAGTATGTACAAGGTGTCATGGGAGGACAGTGAAGGACAGTTGAGTATTACCAAAGGCTTGTTTAAGGCTCCTCAGCAGGGACTTCTAAGCCAGGCCTTTGAAGTAAGAGTGCAAGAATGAGTGCAAGAAGCAAGAGTTCTGGGCAGAAAACAGTGTTTATATGAGGCAGTGTATGCAAAGGCACAGATATCTGAGCAGGTGTGGCACTGTTGTAGAACTGTAAGTAATCCAACATGGCCAGAGCTTAAGAGCAGTGAAAGATAAGGCTGGAGAGGTGAGCAAGTTCCAGGTCAGTAGCGGAAGGCTCCCTGGAGCAAGGGGAGCACCTAGAACCTTGAGGTAGGTCTTCCTTGATTAGCAATCGCGAGGACATAGGCTATGTTAGGTAGGAGGGAAACTGTAAACAAAAGTGAATGCGTATATTTATTTGGCAGTGAGCATTCTGGTCTGGTTAAAGCAGACATCCTCTTGACAAGCAGAGCAAGCAAGTGAGAAGCTAAGAGGTAAGATAAAGTCTCTCAAAGGACCAGAAGTATGACAAACGGAGTGCTTTGAGGGCAGGGCTAGTATCTTGTTTAGTGCTTGCAGTATAGCAGTGGCTCAAGAAACAATCACTGAATAAGTGAAGGGAGAAGTGGTGAAATTCTGTCCTTTTACTGAATTAAGCAGGGACTTTTAGGTTACAGAGGTTTGGTTTTGAAATCTAGGCTCTGCTGGCAATTTTTTTAACCTTGTTGAGTTTCATCCTCTTTATTTCTAATTGTGAGTATACTAATATTGACCGTATTGGTGAGAATTATATGGGATAATTTATATGGAACTATATAGAATTATGGGTATACTAATACTTAGCATGGGATAATTTATATGGAATTTTATAGAATATATGGAACTATATAGAATTATATGAAACTATATAGAATTATGGGTATACTAATGCTTACAGTATATGGTGAGAATTATATGGGATAATTTACATGGAAATATATAGAACTTAAAAATTCCATTTGATCAATATTTATTAAGAAGCTACTATATGCCAAGCCCTGTGGTAGGCTTTAGGACTAGAAAGATGAACAAGACCCAATCTCTGCCTCTAAGGAATTTACTTTCTGTTAGGGGGATGGGGAAGCAGACATCTGAATAGATAAAAGAACTGTGATGCAATAGAATAAGGACTAGCTTAGGGCTAAGAACAGAGCACCGTGGGTGCACAGAGGAGGGACAGTTACGCCAGCCAGACGGCAGGATAGTGTTGGGGAATACTTCCTGGGGGAAGTGATGCTTAAGCTGATTCATGAACAATGATACGCAATTAGGTGAAGAAGGAAGAAAAAGGAATTCCAAACAGAGGGAACAACAGGCTTCCTTTGCAGCTGTGTTTTTCTAGTTCCTGTGCCTGTGCAATTCCTTGCTGAAAATATACTCTAGTCGGCTTGGTTAAAGCAAAAACACCCTCTCTAGCTCTCGTCAGACTCCTGAAGGTTGGATCGTGCTCTGAACAGCCTCAGCTATTGGCTGGCTTCTCTTTAAACTAAACAGGCCTTCAGAAACCCTTCATGTAGCCACCTGCCTGATCTCCTCACTCCCTTTCTCCTGCTTTCTTTCTTTTCTTCCTGTCCTTCCTCGGTATCTGCTTTCTTCCTCCTCTCATTAAACATTTCCTATGTCTACATGTGTAAACTATGGGCTGTGCCTGGAGATACAGGGGATAAAAGCATACATCTAACTCATGAGGAGCTCGAAACTGAAAGTAGGGTCAGCGAGCTATGGCCCATTGACCAGATCCGCCTGTTTTTGTAAATAAAGTTTTATTGGAACATGCCCACGCCCATTTATCTATGTACTGGCTATGGCTGCTTTCATGCTACAATAGCTGTGTTGTGTAGTTGCAATAGAGACCATGTGGCTTGCAAAGCCTAAAATATTTACCATCTGGCCCTTTACAGAAAAAGTTTGCTGGCCCCTGTTCTAGTGTTTATATATGGCAGAAGTGGTGGGGATAGATGGACAAGTAAAGAGGTAATGTACCCCTGTAAGATAAGTTTTTCAAAAGGGTACTATAGAAGGAGAGTTCCTAACCCATACTTGGAGATTGAGAAAAGAACTGAGAGCTAAAAAAAGTGACAAGTACGCTTAGAGCTAAAGGATAAAAAGGAGTTAAGAGGGAAAGGAAGATCATTCTTGGCAGAGACAGTAGCATGTGCAAAGCCAGGCAATGAAAGAAAAACATGCAGTTCTCTATTGCAAAAAGAGGAAGCGGTGAAAGATAAGGCAGGAAAATCAGTTTGGGCCAGGTCATTAAGGATCCTAAATATGAAAACCATATTAAGGATTTTAGAAATGCCCTATAATCTCTCCCATAGGTAACTGAGAACCTTTGAAGGATTTTAAGCAGAGTAGTGCTAAAGCAAATGTGTGCTCTAGAAAGATCACTCTGGCTGTAGGATAGTTAACATTTACTGGGCATTTATTCTATGCCAGGTCTGTGCTAAACGCTCTTTGCATTTGGAAATATCTATTGAGTAGCTGGACAGCACTGGGAACCAGGTAGAAAGAGGTGAAACATGGAGAACAGATATGGATCTATGAGAACCAGGGATCTCCCTAAGGGATGAAAAGGTGTAGAGCACCACCCTTATTTGGAGGCATGAGGAGAAGTAGAAGAACAGGGGTGATTGCAAAGGGGAGTATACTGTCATGGAACACAAACGGGGAGTAAATAACAAGGAGGAGTGGATAGTGAAAATCAGATATTGTAAAGAGAGCTAAGAGAAGAAAAGTGGAAGAACAAGCAGGGGGCAGGGAACTGGTAAGAAGCAGATCAGAGCTGACTTAAAAGAGAGCAATTTCAGCAGAAAAGTTGAGAAACAAGCTGGATTATAGGGTTAAGGAAGTGGTTGGAAGTGAGAAAATGGAGGTCACTGCCACTGAACACTTGTTTGAGAGATTTGTCTTTTTAAAGAAGAGTAGAAATATGACTGTGGCTGGATTTCTTAAAATTAGGCTGTAATTCAGCAGCTTTGGTAACTTTTCTGATTCATGAGGTAAATTTCTCATCTCAAATATCTGGTCATTTGAAGTAATACTGGAGATCAAATTACGCAAATATGCTGCATGACTAAATTAAAGGCCTATTCATGTGAGCATTAGTTAGTAATGGGAGTTGTATTATATACTGCATTATTAGAAAATGGGGCAGCATATTTTAATGCTTAAAAATTTAATCAGAGCAACTTCCAGAAGGAGGAAAAGGCTCCTTTTTAACACAAGATTTGAATCATGGCAATTTTTTTTTTTTTCTGAAAGCCATTCTTCTAAGATGGTCATCCCTGCACATGCCCTCATTTCTGACTTTCTGCTGCACAAGCAATCAGTATTCGTGCAAGGCTAATGGGATATACAAGAACAATTAGTAGCTCTGCCAGCGCCAATATTGTACTTGCCTCTTTAAAGAGCTCAAAATATTAAATAACAATTGGAAAGAACATTTCTTCTAGACTACTCATTAGATTGATTTTACAGATGAGTAAACTGAATCATAGAGAAACAAGATAGTGGAAATGAGAAGTCTTACTTTGGTTCTATCTCACACCACTGTAAGGCTGTGCCTATTATATCTGTAATTAAGCTGTTGTCCAGATAAACAATAATTCCTGCTTGGCTTTGACTTTTAGATACCAACAGATATTTAAATGCCGGCAGTTGAAAAGGTTATTTTTTTTTCTTTCAAAAGTGGGTTTGTAACTATTGGCTTAAATTATTTTAGAAAACTATAGCTGTACTTTCAACATAAGGCCACCCACTCAACTCTGAGCCTAGACTGTTTGAGAAATAAGAAGGTATAGGAAATTTGGCAGGTATTTTTCTCTTGTATCTTTAAATCTCAGTAAGTTCACAAAATTTTCCTAACCAATATTGGAACAAGAAATTATCACGGGGGGAGGGGGGTGACTAATCTCACCTTTTAAGGACAATTAATTTTTCTACTTCACAAGTTTAACTTCTTATTTGGATCACAATATGCTACTAAGATACTTAAAAGGTCATTTTTTCAGGCCAACTGCAAATGATGTTTTCATTATAGAAAAGTTATGTAAAAGTGGAAAAGAGATGTAAGTCCATTAACGTGTAAAATGCACCATAGCAATGGGAAAAAAGTTTTAATGAAATACGTATGAGCTCTATCATGCGCAAATGTTTTGTTGAAATGGATGACTCCAAGAGCTCTGTGGTTCCACTTCAGTGTCTAATAGGCACTACTCACTTTAACCTTCAGCAAGCCCTTTATGAATGCTATCCACCCAAGTGTATGAAAATGCCAATTCATGTAGGGCTATCAGTATTATTGTTATTTCTTATTCTGTAAAGGCTGCATTTTGAACATTTTAATAAGGGTCAAAGCATTCCAAGTCAATCTAGATGGCAATTGTTAGAAATGCAGGAGGTGCTTTAAAAAATGAGTTGGTAATAATTTCATTCTTCTCCCATTTTGATTAGTTTATAAATATAACTGTCAGCTAGTTATCATGGTGAGGTTATTGGTCAGTCCTCCTCCAAGTAATATAAACTCCTTAATACAGTCTTCAGACTATGAATCTACCATAACATTGCCAGTGTTTTGATATCATCAGTATCTTCATCTTCCTTTATTTCAAGCTATGATAGATTTTACCTCTTCTATTATCTACTGTAATTTGCTGCTGACACACCAATTGCTAGTAAATACATATGTTGAGCGATGGTGATTATGTGAAGAATGAGGGGCAAGATCCCTGTGGTGTAGTGTGTGTGCACCCATGTGTGCATGAAGAAACGTGTGTATGTGTGATGTGCATGCAAATAATATAGGTCTGAGGGAAATACTGTACTCCCCTTGAAGGTAAGGGTCATGTCTTATTCACTGTTACATCCCTAGTACTTAACACTGTCTCTGGCACAGAAATGATATCTAAGGAGTGCTTGCTGCATGAATGAGTGAAGGGTACTAATGGTCCATGTTCCCATTGGCAAAATAAGGCTTCCAGTTTAAAAATGAGACTGGAGGTCCACCTACAACAATCTGTTGTGCTTTCAGTTTTTACAGGCTGATTTCTACGCACACAGCATTATGCTGGGACTTGTGAGGAAAGCAAGGAAACTGAATACACAGAACTTGGACTTGAGAAGCTTTCAGTCTAATTGGGGAGACAAGATACATACAAGTGAAAACTTAACTCCTAATTCTAGAGAGAGAATCATGGCATGCCAAATGTATTTTTTTCATGTCAAATGTAACCACTGCGTGAGTTCAGGAGAAAAGAGCCTGTTCTGTACTGCAGCCATTAAAGAAAGCTACCTAAACTAGGCAAGAATTGAGTTATACCTTTGAGGATAAAAGACAGCAGGGAAGGAAAGGAAATGTCTGTCCAGGAGGAGCGGGTAGAGAATACAGATGAGCAAAGTTATTAAGATAAGAATAGATTCTTTGGGACTTAAAATTTAGGAAGCAGTCATTAGACTTTGAAAAATAAATATGATGGTAGAGACAAATATAACAAGGAAATAAATAAGCATGCACATTTTGTATAGTAATCACTTCATACCTAAACTCCTTGGTGAAAAAAAATGTCGAAACTTAGACACATTCTCTATGTTGCAAACTCAGGGGAAGTGAGTGAAATGTCAGAAGGCATGGCAGCATTCCCAGAGGTTAGTGAGTATCAGGTAGGCTTTGCCAAGCAGGAGGGAGGTGATGATATTTGACTTCTGAGGGGATAAACAGGTAAGGTGGGATCTGGGCAGATTTTCAGACAAAAGATTCTGTTGTGAAGGGGCTTCTGGTTTTAACATAGATGTGACTCTCCTTAAGTCTTAGGTGACCTGATGTACTTCTGAAACTATTCATTGATTGTACAAATTTCTATTTATTTTACATTTTTAAGGGCACAGAAGGATCTAAACTATGTGCACAACTATTCTACAAACCAAACTGAAAATCAAAATGAAATACACAAAGGAAAAGTTGTTTGAAATTTTGTCTTTAAGATACAGGGAAAAAATCACACATCAGTAAAATCAAGGATAAATATCAGCCTGAAGGAGGAGCAATAATTGACAAATATTTAAAAACAATTGGGGGCCAGGTGTGGTGGCTCATGCCTGTAATCTCAGCACTTTGGGAGGCCAAGGCAGGCGGATCATTTAAGATCAGGAGTTCTAGACCAGCCTGGTCGACATGGTGAAACCCTGTCTCTACTAAAATTACAAAAATTAGCCGGGTGTGGTGGTGCACACCTGTAATCCCAGCTACTTGGGAGGCTGAAGCAGGAGAATCGCTTGAACTGGAAAGATGGAGGCTGCAGGGGGCTGAGATCACACCACTGCATTCCAGCCTGGGTAACAAAGTGAGACTCCCACTCAAAAAAAAAAAAAACCAAAAACAAAAAACAACTGGGGTCTTTCTTTTCTAACCATATCTAGACATTGGTGAAAATAGTCCTTATTAAAGATAATAATAGCTATGGAGATAAATCATCCAAGTGTTGCATTTATGTGTGAGAGTATGTATGTAGAACAGATTTAGCAAATAATTTTTAAAGCTTTCAATAAATACTTTAAGTGACTTATATGGACACTTTAAATGCACATTCATTAATGGATTCTTGATTGAATAAAAAATTAACTCCTGAAAATATTTCCTAAATAAAGTACATCTATGCATGGATGCACTATGATGTTTCAACCAACATTAATTATACCCTTTTGATTTCTACTGTCTTGTTCAAAAACACTAATAAGACATGCACTACATCATAGTTAATAGGAGTGTGGTGCTTGTTGCTTAGGCAACAGGAGGAATAAATGCAGGTCAGAATGTGCTTCAAGAAAAACAAAAGCTAGAATATGATACTGAGTGGAGACTAAGCAAGTCTAACAGATTTTTCACCACATTAAAGAAATATGTTTCTTAGAGCAAGCCAATCATATTCATGTGTTTAACTAAGTTTGCAATTACATAAATTAGATTATGTAGATCAATAAATAATTTTTATAAAGGTAGAAATTAATCGCTTATGATACTAGTAGCAAATAAATGGTGTATAACAGCATGTAAAGCACTAATTGATTATACCACTTCATGATTTGCTTCATTTTCATAATTAATTAACTCCTCTAAATGGCAATTCAAAGTTTTTTTAAAAGATAATTCTGTCTCATGAAGAAAGTATTTGATTGGCCCATCTAAGTTAATAATATTTTCTTATTTTCTAGAAAATTATACCAAATACTTTGAATTAAACAAGTAAAGAATATAATCTATGATTAGACCTTGGTTACATCATGTATATCCAGGATTTTGCCTTCCATATAAATTTTGAAGTGCTTATACATGATTCATTCATGAATAATTTTTACGATCTCTCTTTGAATGCTTATTTGAAACCTGTTTGATTAACCTTTCAGTTCGAGGCTTTCAAAAAGGTATTATATTTGCTCATAAGTGTTTAACATTCAGAGGAAAAATAAGCTGAATTAAAGTCTTTCAGCTTGGCCAAATGATCCAGGAAATCCAAAGACCTAACTTCTCATGGGACCAGAATAAATTTGGACAAGGGTTTCAGGGTTGGGAATGAGAAACCCTTATTTCAAGTAGACATAGGGAGAAATAATTAAGATATTGAAATGTACAGTAAACATAAATAATAAAAAAAGACTTCAATTCTGTTTGATAGTTCTTCTAATTCTTAATGCCATCTGTTTAGTGTCCTAAGTCTGTCCTAAATCTGCCCAGTGTTCTAAGACTTTCATAGCAATTGAAGAACTTTCACTTTTTTCCATTTCAATACCCAAATATCTTGTCTATATAACCAGTGACAGTACTTGATAAACACAAGAAAAATAACAGTAGCTGCATATATCAGTATAAAAAAACCAACAAATCACTCATAAAGCATTCTGTGCATGCAATTACTTAGAGCTCATATATCTTACTATATTTATGTCTTTTTTATTTTTAAAAACTCTTGGGCATACATACTTTTGGAGAAGGAGCAGAAGTTGAATAATGTTAATAATCTTCAAATCTATAATATTCAAGTCAACCTCAGAGAAAAATAATCTAAGATAGAAATTAAAAAATCTAATCAGCTGTCACTATTGTGTTATCATTTCTGGTACTAGTAAGCTGCAGGTGTCAGCCCTATTACTGTATTTAGGCAGGGCTATTACTTATTTCCACAAGTCATTTGTGTGTTACATGCCTGTGTTATGTAGGTCTCTCTAAACTTAGGGATCAGTGATATGTGTGATGGGTACTTAAAAGCAAGGAAAGGTAATAGAGCTGTGACGTAGCTTAACAAGGGGAACTGATGAGCACTGGGGGAGGTATGGGAATGATTAGAAAGCTGAATTGTCGGTTTGCACAGTTCCCCATCCTCCTTCCTCACCTATATGCAAAACGGTGGAAAGTTAGCACATGCCAGGTTTAGATTGCATGTAGACCAGAATTCAGAAGTACATGACTATACTTACTCCACCAACCTTTCTTTCTAAATATTGACAGCTAAATGACCAAAGTGTTTATTTTCCACCTAAAGTAATAAACAATACTTCATCGCTCTTCAATCAGCAAGTGGAAGTAAACGCTCTCCATAATTGACCATCTGAAGCAGTTTGCTAATGAACTGAAGGTTGTCCACATGATTTAAACTGCTTATTGAACAATTATCAGGAAAAGAAATGATCTTCACACCATAAACACAACAAATTGTCTCATTAACCACTAAATGCTGATGCTCAAGTGAAATAATATAAGAATCAAGAATTAGCTGAAGAGTGATATAATCCGAGTATTCTAAGATTACAAATTTATTTAAAAAATCATACCAAGAATGACAGGGAGAATATCAATATTAATCTTCTTTCACTGCCTATAAATAGCACTCTCACCAGTTCATTCATATAACACATATGTATATGGATACATACAGATCTCATTTTTTAGCAAGAGTCTATATGTACACAGCAAGTTCAGTCCTAAGGGCATCCAATTTTCCAATGCAGTTACATATATAAATCTGACCAGTTTTGGTGCAAATCAGGCTGCCTCTGAGCCATGTAAGACACATAAGAAGCAAAGACAGACAAAAGGCAGCTCCGTGGACACAGAGAGCTTCTTACCATAAACTGCACATTGTCAAATCCATTAGCCATCAGGTGGTTCTCGTACTGAGGTAGCCCAATGCTTTCCAACCATTGTCCCACTGTTTGGACAGGGCATCTGGGTCCTGTAAGAGGATGAAGAGGGAAGCGTTTAAGCAGGGAGTAGCCGTCCACGGGGTAATAGCGGTAGTCCTGGGCTGAGAGGTGGCATTGCCACATCATGCCCCTGGGAAAGTTGCTATCAAAGGAGCCCGCCAGCTTGACAGATTAATGTTCTCAGCGAGAGAGCAAAGTCAGAAGTAAAACATAGTTTGCCAGGCAGGCTGTGGAGTATGACTTGATCCTAGCTCCACATTTCTTACATATTAATCTTTACTACCGACCAGTACGTCATACAGCCCCCAAAACCAGGCAGCAGAAGAAGGCATATCAAGCTGTCAGCTTGGGCTGGTCTGCGTTCTATGTGATTGTTGGAGTACTCCACAATGAGCAATGCACGGCCGGCAGCCAGAATTCTTTTTTATCAAGTACTCCTACACTCATCAGTATGCAGCTCCATGCTCCTTGCTCCCCCTCGCTCGCTCCCCTTCATTACCCAGCCCAGGCTACACCTCGCATTTTCAATAATAGCCATCAGATAAGGCAGATTTTTTTTGTCTGCAAGCTGTAAGCCTGCTGCTGCTGCTTCCTCCTACACACCCATCCAAGCGTCAATCTTGAATGATGAGAGCAGTCAAAACAAATGCAGAAAATAGCAAGATTCAAAAGCAAACCAAAGTGCTTAAATCTGAATTGAATCTTCATACTGGTTATACGTTACAGAGCTATTTGTTGTGGAATTTTACGTTTCAAAAGACACCAGGAAATGCGAAGCTTGAACTATAGCTTATAACAGAGCTCACGACAGGTTCCCTTTCTCCTTTTCCTTTCTTTCCTGTCTTTTCTTCTTCCTTTTTAAATGGAGCACAGATAAACGTTTCTGATCTGAAGCTTTGCAGTGTTTGGAGAATAATTATTCTGTTTCTTTACCATGCTATAGCAAAATAAGCCTCTCCGAGATATATATTTTTTTCTTTTTTGAAATACTGCAAAATACAGAAACTGCATCGCAATCTTGAAGTCAAGATAATTTATTTCTTGTTTGCATGGTTTCTTCCAAACAAAAGTATTATTAGGCACAAGAAATCCTTTTTCCCCTCTGATATTTATAACCCAATCTACCAGGGTTACCATTCTAAATTAGCTATAAAGGTAACATTAACTGGATAGATTTTTTTTTTAATAAAGAAGATGAGCCCTAACCCAAAATAATTCAAGAATAACAGATGTAAATGTGTGAGTTTTACTGAATGGCAGATAGACTGAGTAATTTATTTAATAATTGGGAGAAACCAGGGATTAAGAATAGAACCCACAGGACTAGATCATCAGAAGAAACAGACTCTTAAGATTGGGAGAGAACTTGCAGAAAGGTTAGTCTAACCTTCTTCCTAACGTAGGCATCCCTGGCTAAAATGTTCCTAGAGGAATATCTTCCAACTTCTACTTGAATACTGCCTGTAACAGAGCTCTTACTACTTCTCACGAAGCCTCAATTTATTAGAAAGATATTTCACTTCCTACCTTGCTTCTACTCACTGCTCCAGCTCTGCCTTCGGAGAAGCACAGATTGAGAACAGTGCCTCTTCCACATAAAGAGCTTTAAAATTTAAAGATAACTCTCTCATCCCCCCAGAGCAGCCGCCTGGCACATAGTAAGTGCCTAATACAAATTTATTGAATAAATGAAACATCGCTTTTCTTTTTTCCTCAAACCTCATCTTTCTCTGTTTCCTTTCTCTTTTTAAGGGCATTGTCAACTTTCCTGGCACACAGACATTAAACCTCAAAACATCTTCTACTCCTCTTTCACTACTGAAATCAGTCCCCAAATTCTATCATCCCTCTTCCCAGTGTGATCCATTCCCTTGATTCTATTTCCTGTTTTAAGTTTACAGAACTGCCACCTACATTGATTTTGTTCTCATAGTTCAGGCCCACCTAGCCTAGTGAAACAACGACTTCTATATTGATCTTTCTACCTCTAATATTTAAAAAATCAATTTTATGCATGGTGTCAGAATAATCCCTTTAAGACACAGTTTTGATTACTACTCCCTGTCTCAAAACCCTTCTGTGGTTTTCTGTTGTCTTCAAAATCAACTCCCAACTCCTCTGATGACATTTTGGGGTCTTCATGATTGACTGCAGTTCATCTAACTTTATTTCCACTTTTCCACTGCCCCAGACAGGCAGGATTACTTGCTGGTCTCTAAAGGCAGCCCATAATGGGCTTTGGTTGGTTTTATTATGTCCCCACATTTCTGTCCATTTGTTGGCTTTGAATCAGTTGCTATTTCCATTATGAAACCTCTTCTAATCTTCTCTACCACGAATAAATCTCTTTCTTCTCTGTCTTAAATGGCATTTTTAGACCCTCTATTGTAACAGATATTTTCTGCCTTCAATTTTAGTTGTTTGTGTCTGACTTATTTTTTGAAAGCAGGCAATATGCTTTGCTAATATTTCACATAGTAAAGATTCAGTACATACCTGCTAAACAAAATAATGTAATTTCATGATCCAAAGTACAAAAAATTCTATTTTCAAATTTAAAAAAAGTTTTAACTCTATCCCAAGTCTCTAAATTATTTATTTAAAATAAGATAACTTGTTTTTTAAACAGATTTTTTCATGTCTGTCTTTTAGCTCATCATCCTCATCCACTTTTTGAATAAGCAGCCCTGGGTGGACTGCATAGTACTTGATTATATTTTGTTGCTGATTGGTCCTGGATCTTTTAATAACATCAAAGAGTTTGTAGTAGTTTATGAATCAATTTTAATAGATTCTAGTTGCTCAACATTACCTATAGGAGAAGCTAAAAACAAGATACTATTTGTCCCTGGCCAGCTCTAAAGCTGTTACAAGGTGGAAGAAAAGGAAAGTCTCAATTATAGCTTCTCCTAGGATCACAGCCACAGTGCTTCACCTGGTCATTTTGAATTATAAATAGTTGAATATACTACATGGAAATTGAGCAAACACGACAATGACACTTTGGCTTGGCAAGGCACATGCTGATTGGCCAGCTCTTCAAACCTGTTTCATCTGTTAAAATGCAAACCAGGGGCCAAGTACCTGGCAGAGCACGATACACATCCTGCTTATTAAATAAACTTTGTTAAATAAATGCCTGAGTAACTAAATGAATAAATGATATTGGAAATGCCTTTCTTGAGATTCTCATTTCTTAGTACAGAGAGAGGGAAAGAGGGAGAGGGAAGAAAAAATGTGTGTGTGCACAAAACATAGAGAGTGGACTAATAGACACTGGAGACTCAGAAAGGGGGAGGGTGGGAGAAGAGTGAGGGATGGGAGATTACATAATGGGTACAGTGTACACTATTTGGGTGGTGGGTACACTAAAAGCCCAGACCTCACCACTTTGGATATATCCATGTAACAAATCTGCACTTGTACCTCTTAGAGCAATAAAAATAAATAAAATTATATATTACAAAAGACAGTATATTTGTGGTGGGGATTATTTCAAGGTTCAGACTGCTATATAAGAACACAACTCAGAGAAAATACTGGTTATGAACTACTTTACAAAATTTATATAGACTGCCTGAATTTTATTCTTTTAGGTATTCAATCCTTCAATTTTTATTCAATAATTTTTACATGTTGACAAAATGTTATAATATATGGAGGAAGTGAGCTGGGAGAGGATGGGGTGAGGAAGGTATAAAAGAGAGGGAAGAAGGAAAAAAAAGAAGACCCTGAGTCATGTTGTTTGTTTGCGGTTTTGTTGAAGTATTTTCTCATGAGTCAAATCTCTAAAAGAATCTTGGTTCAGGTCTGAAGATCACTCTGTAACAGTGCTTAAATATATTACTCTCTTTACCTAAAATACTTTTATGGAGTCTTAAAATTCTTAAAGCATAACAACACACTAATTAGGCAGGAACTTTTATTCAACTAGAATGTCTTTAAGTTCCAAAAGTGAGACAAGAGGAGGGAAAGAAGAAACTGACCATTATTCTGGGCTACCATGTCCTAGGCAGTGTGGTGTGAATTATTATCCTGATTTACCGTAAGGAAACTGAAGCTCAGAGTATGTGGTGAAAACAGGAATTTTCTTTGTCATAGTCTTTTAAAAAATAATAATTCTAGGGGTTTTACTCCCATAATGGCAGTGTGAGGAGCTCCACAGGTCCAAGCCCCAGTCAAAAAACTTAACTTGAAAATTATAAACAAACAATCAAAAAACCCTACACAATCAGAAACCAAAAACAATGCCAACAAAAACCAACCATCAAAGTCTTTGCAAAGTGTCCTAAGAGCATATAATGTAAAAATGTTTATTCCAAAGACAGACACTAAAACTTGGTAAAAACAGATTCTGAGATTCTGTAGCACTTGAGCCATAGCTCCCTCTGGCCCCTCCTTCCCTGCAACTCATCTCCATAGATGCTCCACTTTGGATGGATGTGTCCAAGAGAAAGGGCTCCCCTTCTCCTCAAATCCCAACCAAGCGGCATGGGATCTCATCAAAAGGAGCAGGCCAGCATTTCCAATTTCCTCTAAATCTAAGCTGTAGAGGTTCAATTCCTGGTGAGTGTGGCTGAGAGGTCAGGGGCTCCTTTCTTCCACCCAGACCCCATTCATAGAATAGAAAGTTCATCCCAGCTGGGTCAGGCCAAAAATACTGGGATCTTCACTGCCCTCGACTGCTTACATATAGGGTAGAGGTTCCATGCCCAGAAAGGTAAACTAGGAAGACCAGAGGCTATCATTCTTGCCCCATGCCTGGAAGAGTGGCTCAACGATTTTGCTTAAAGGGAGAGTCAGTTTATAAGAACAAAAAGCTCTAAAGCTTTCCCCCAAGAGGTTGACTTATTTGTTTGTTTTCAATTTTTGTTTTGGATTTAGGGAGTATATGTTCAGGTTTGCCACGTGCGTATATTGTGTGATGTTAAGGTTTGGGGCATGAATGATCCCGTCACCAGGTACTCAGCACAGTACCCAATAGTTAGTTTTTCATACATTGTCCCCCTCCATCCTTCCCTACTCCAGTAGTCCCCACTTTCTATTGATGTCTTCTTCATGCCCATGAATACCCAATATTTAGCTCCCACTTATAAGTGAGAACATACAGTACTTGGTTTTCTGTTCCTGCATTAATTTCCTTAGAATAATGGTCTCCAGCTGCATCTATGTTGCTGCAAAGGATATAATTTTTTTTCTTTTTTTATGGATGCATAGTATTCAATGGTATATATGTACCATGTTTTCTTTACCCAATTCACCATTGATGAGTACTCAGGTTGATGCCGTGTCTTTGTTATTGTGAATAGTGCTGCGATGAACATATGAGCACAGATACCTTTTTGGTAGAATGATTTATTTTCTTTTGGATATAGACCCAGTAATGGGACTGCTGGGTCAAATGGTAGTTTGTTTTAAGTTCTTTGAGAAATCTCCAAACTGCTTTCCACAGAGTCTGAACTAAGTGACATTCCCATCAACAGTGTATAAGTGTCCCTTTCTTCTGTAGCCTCACCAGCAGCTATTATTATGCCTCTTAGTAATAGCCATTCTGACTGGTGAGAAATGGTATCTCATTGTGGTTTTGATTTGCACTTCTCCGATGATCAGTGACGTTAAGCATTGTTTCGTATGTTTGTTGGCCACTTGTATGTCTTCTTTTGCGAAGTGTCTGTTCATGTCTTTTGCCCATTTTTAATGTGGTTATTTATTTTTATTTGTTCAATTGTTTAAGTTCCTTATAGATTCTGGATATTAGATGTTTGTTGGAAGCATAGTTTGTAAATATTTTCTCCCATTCTGTAGGTTATCTTTTTACTCTGTTGATAATTTCTTTTGCTGTGCAGAAGCTCTTTAATTTAATTAGGTCCCACTTATCAATTTTTGTTTTTGTTGCAATTGCTTTTGAGGATTTAGTCATAAATTCTTCCCTAAGGCTGATGTCCAGAATGGTGTTTTCTAGGTTTTCTTCTAGGATTCTTTTTTTTTTTGAGATGGAGTCTTGCTCTGTCACCCACGCTGGAGTGCAGTGGTGCTATCTCAGCTCACTGCAATCTCCGCCTCCTGGGTTCATGCCATTCTCCTACCTCAGCCTCCCGAGTAGCTGGAACTACAGGCACCCACCACCACACCAGGCTATTTTTTTTTTTTTTTTTGTATTTTTAGTAGAGATGGGGTTTCACCATGTTAGCCAGGATGGTCTCGATCTCCTGACCTCATGATCTGCCTGCCTCGGCCTCCCAAAGTGCTGGGATTACAGGCATGAGCCACCACGCCCAGCCTCTTCTAGGATTCTTATAGTTTGAGGTCTTACTTTAAATCTTGAATCCATCTTGAGGTAAGTTTTGTATATGGTCAAAGGTAGGGGTCCAGTTTCATTCTTCTGCATATCGCAAGCCAGCTATCCCAGCATAATTTGTTGCATAGGGAGTCCTTTCCTCATTGCTTATTTTTGTTGATTTGTCAAATATCAGGTGGCTGTAGGTGTGCGGCTTTATATCTGGGTCCTCTATTCTCTTCCATAGGTCTATGCATCTGTGTTTGTACCAGTACCATGCTATTTTGTTTATTGTAGCCTTATAGCATAGTTTGAAGTCAGGGAATGCGATGCCTCTGGCTTTGTTCTTTTTGTTTAGGATTGCTTTGGCTATTCAGGATCTTTTTGGTTCAACATGAATTTTAGAAAAGTTTTTTCTAGTTCTGTGAAAATGGTAGTTTGATAGGAATAGCACTGAATCTGTAGATTGCTTTGGGAAGTATGGCCATTTTAACCATATTGATTCTTTCAATCCATGAGCACAGAATGTTTTTCCATTTTTTTGTGAAACTGAGGTTATTTGACACAGAGTGTGCGGAAGTTTAAGCCTAAACGTGTTATCAAAATCAATGGAGGTTACACAGTGGCTCATTCCTGTAATCCCAGCAATTTGGGAGGCTGAGGTGAGAGGATCACTTGAGTTTGAGACCAGCTTGGGCAACATAGCAAGCCCTCTATCTCTACGAACAATTAAAAAGTAGCCAGAGATGATGGCATGTGCCTATCATCCCAGCTACTCGGGAGGCTGAGATGGGAGGACCCCAAGGCTGCAGTGAGCTATGATTGCACCACTGCACTCCATCCTGGGTAACAGAGCAAGACCCTGTCTGTAAAAAAACAAACCAAACCAAAACAAAAAAATCCCCCCCAAAACCCAGTGGAGATATTCTGGTGACAAACAATCAAAAAGTGGCTAATAGCTACAGTAGGGAAATAAGCTAAATGGTAGGTTAGCTAGTTTTAAAGAAACAGAGAAAGACAGTTATGAAGAGCCCTGTTGAGGTCAAAAGAAACTTCAAATACTAGCTTCAAAAATTCCTCCTTCTCAAATTTAATTGGAGCAGACTCTGGAGCAATTTATAGCTGACGGATTGTCAAAAACAATAGAGCAATCAGCAGGCAATTACTGGAGTCTAATATCTGGATGTGATATCAAATGAGATAGACAACAGAAAGATTAGGAAAAGAGACAAAGAGAGCCCTGCTATAACCACTGCCATCCCAAAACTGTGCAGATGGCCAAGGCTACACCCTTGAGAGGATAAATACAACGTGATGCATCCATACTATTGACTATTACTTGACAATAAAAATAAATGAAGTGCTGATATATGCTGCAAATTGCATGAACCTTGAAAACATCATGCCAAGTGAAAAAAAAAAGCTAGTTATAAAAGACCATATATTGTATAATTCTGTTTAAATAAAAGGTCAAGAATAGACAAATCTATAGAGACAGAATGTAGATTAGGGGTTTCCTAGGGCTGGAGAAGTGAACTGTGGAAAGTGACTATTAATGGATTTAGGGTTTCTTTTTAGAGTGACGAAAATGTTTTAAAATTGTGATGATGGTTGCACAACTCTGTGACTACACTAAAAACAACTGAATTGTACCTTTTAAATCAGTTACTTAAATTATATATATGTATTTATATAGTATATCAGTAGATTTAAAATTATTGAATGATGATATAAAATAATAAAAACAAATCTTAAAATTTCTTTAAATTTACAAGAACAAAATGCACATACATAATTGTATATAAAACATTGGGGTTGTTTAATATATATTGGTAGTTTTAGTGCTCTGGGTTTTTTTTCTTCTTTAGTTTTCTTGGTTACCCCTTCCTCCATTCTTGTCCTGCAATCTGCATCATCCATCCTCCCTGCAAGGTTATTCATGTTAATAAACTGGTATGTATATTCATATATATTTACCCATTTTCAAATAACACACACACACACACAAAGGCAGATATGTTCGGATATATACGTATATGGGAGAGTATTTTTGGCATGGTTTCATCAAAATGAAATTATACCACTCACTTTTCTGAACCTTAGTTTGCTCATTTAACATCTTATAAAAATTCTACTGGCCGGGCGTGGTGGCTCACGCCTAATCTCAGCACTCTGGGAGGCCGAGGCAGGTGGATCACAAGGTCAGGAGTTTGAGACCAGCCTGGCCAATATGGTAAAACCTCGTCTCTACTACAAATACAAAAATTAGCCGGACATGGTGGCAGGCACCTGTAGTCCCAGCTACTCTGGAGGCTGAGGGAGAAGAATCACTTGAACCCAGGAGGTGGAGGTTGCAGTGAGCCAAGATTGTGCCACTGCACTCCAGCCTGGGCGACAGAGCGAGACTCTGTCAAAAAAAAAAAAAATTCTACTAAGTAAATGAGTTTTAATTTATTATTTGTTGGTTATTTGTAAAAAGTTAAAATAGTTATTTTTAGTTATTTTCAACTTTTTAAAAATAACTACATAATAGTTCATAATGTGGATAAACCACAGTTTATTCAGTTCTTTGCCTGATATCTCTAGGATATCTTTGCCTGATATACATCCTTTTATTTTCTTTTTTTAAAGATTTTTATTTTGAAATAATTGTCAATTTGCATGAAATGATAGAGAGAGTGATTCTGGATAGATTTTCTTCAGTTTTCTCCAGTTGTGACATCCTGTATGACTTTAGCACAGTATCACAATATCACAGCCAGGTCATTGGCACTGAAAAAAATCCACTGACCCTGTTTATATGTCCTGTGTTTTACATGCACTCTGTGTGTGTGTGTGTGTGTGTGTGTGTGTGTGTGTGTTTAGTTCTGTACAATTTTATCACACGTGCAGACCACGTGGCCATCATCACAGTCGAGACACCGACAGCACCATCATAAGAATCCCTCCTGGAACTTTTTTTTATGGCCATAGCCTTCTTCCTCCCTTTCCCATTTTTTGACCCCTGGCAACTACTGATCTGTGTCCATCTCTATCATTTTATCATTTCAAGAATGTTACATGAATAAAATCATATATTATGTAACATTTTGGAATTGGGATTTTTCATTCAGCAGAATTCCTCTGAAATCCATACAAATTATTCAGTGTGTCAGTAGCTTATTTTTTCATTTCTGAGTAGTATTCCATGATATGGATGTACCGCACCATTTACCCATTCTCTTCCAGAGTGGCTGTACCATTTTACATTCCCATTAATAGTATACAAATGATGCAGTTTCTTTGCATCTTCACTAGCATTTGGTGTTGTCAATTTTTTTATGTAGTCATTCTGATAGGTATGTACTAATATTTCCTTGCGGTTTTAATTTGTATTTCCCTCATGGCTTACTATGTTGAACAAAATCTTATTGCCTGTATCTTTTTGTTAAAACGTCTGTTCATGTCTTTTGCTGTTTTCTTCATTGGATTGTTTTTCTACTGTTGAGTTTTGAGAATTCTTTACATAGTCTAGATACTAGGAATTTGTTGGACTTTTTATCAATTTTTTTATGGATCATGTTTTTGGTGTCTATCCCATTATTTTTAACTTTAAAAAATGAGCATTTAAAAATGTGTCTCATAAATAGCCCAGAGCTGTAATATTTTAATCTGAAGTTTTAAAATACAATCTCTAATGGCTTACATTTTAATGGGCAAATACAATTTGGAGTAATGACAATCATGCTTGATTTTATCCATTCCATCTTATGTTCTTATTTATTTACATTGTTGTTTCCTCATTTTCCTTTTCTTCATTTTTGGTACTCTGGTAACATTCTTATTCATTCTATTTTTCTCTTTTTAACTTTGTGACTCTGAGATACTTCTCTATTCCTTTCAAGGTTACTTTATTTTTCCCTGCTCTAATGATCAGATATATACTTTTCTATGATTATTTGAAAATAAGTTACCAATTATTTCCCTCTCAAAAACGCTCTATATCCTTCATACTCCAGTAAAATTAGACCCTCAGAATGTTTTCCTTTCTTCGTTCTCTTTTTCCTACAACCACATGTGATCTCTGGAATGCTTTTCCTTTACCCATCTGCCTTATTCCCAACCAGTTCCTAGGTTTTGCTGATAATCATTTAGTAAACATTTTCCTAGTCAATTACTAGAATTTCCTCACAGTATATTCCTCCTATTTAAAGAGTCTTTATTTAATATTTATGTTGCACACTCCCAGTTGGTTTATACATTTCAGTTTAGATTTAATTATTGTAAAGATTCATTGGTCACCACTATTTCATATCCTTATAACCATCTTAATCTTGAGGTTTCTGTTTCCATTTGTTTGTAGTTTAGTTAGAATAGTTTCTCATATATTCAGAAAATATTTTAAACTGATTAATCATAAAAGCAGAGTGAATCACAATTTGTGAGATGCAGGTAAAATGGTACTTGGAGATAAATGTATAGCACTAAATGCCTATATTAGACAGGCAGAAATACTCACCACTATACTAGTAAGGAACAATGTCTACCTTAGAAATGACAAGAATTTCAAATCATTTATCTCAGAATTCACTTTAAGAAATGAAAGTAAGAAGAAAGATAACTCCAACAAAAATAAGCAGAAGTAAGGAAATAAAGATCAGAGGGGAAATAAATGAAACAAAAGATCAATAGAGAAAAATCAATGAAACCAAAAGCTGTTTTTTGAGATGATTAGTCCAACTGGTAAATCTCTATTCAGGCTGACCAGGAAGTAAAGGAGAATAAAGAAGTAATCAATACCGGGAATGAGAGAAGTGACAGCAAAAGAGTTTTTATGGATATAAAAAGAATAAAGAAATGTTATGAATAACTGTTAGTATCAGTAAATTCAGCAACTTAGATGAAATGACAAATTCATTAAGAGAAGCAAGGTACCAAACCTCACTCATGAAGAAAAGTTCATAACTGACTAGCTCTCTACCTATTGAAGTAATTGTATTTGCAGTTAAAATCTTTATACAAAACAAAACAAAACTCCAGGCCTCAATGGCTCTAGTGTTAAATTCTACCAAACATATAGTGAAAGAAATAATAGCAATTCTACACAAACTCTTCCAGAAAGTTGAGGAGAGAGAATACTTGCCAACTTATTCTATGAAGCCAGCATTATTTTGATACCAAAATCAGATCAAGACATTATGAGAAAAGAAAACTATATGTATTAGTGTCTGTCATAAACATAGATGTAAAAATTCTTAACAAAATTTTGGCAAATAGTATCCAACAATATATACAGGATGATACAATATGACTAAGTGAAGTTTACCCCAATAATGCAAGGTCTCTTAAACATGGGAGAATCAATTAATGTGATTCATCAGATTAACTAATAAAGAAAAACCATATAATCCTCTCCGCAGATGCAAGAAATCATTTGACAAAATCCAGCATCTACTTATGATAAAAACTCTCAGCAAAATAGAAAGAAATTTCTTAATCCTGATAAAAAGGCATTTATACACAACCTACAGTTAGTACCATACTAGATTGTGAAAGACTGAATGCTTTTCTGTTAAGTTTAGAAACAAAGCAAGGATGTCCATTCTCAACACTTCTACCCAACATTGTACTGGAGGTTCTAGCTGGTGCAGTAAGTTACAAAAAAGAAATAAAATGCATTCATATTGGAAAGGAAGCAGTAGAACTGCTTCTTGCTTCTATTCCCACATGACATGATTTTCTATGTATAAAATCCTGTGAGACCTACATAAAAACTACAAGAAATAATAAGTGAGTTTAGCAGAGTTGCAGGATATAAGATCAATATACAAACATCAATTGTATTTCCCTACACTAACAATAAACAATTGGAATTTGAAATAAAAACCAACATAATTTACAACAGCACCAAAACTATGAAATTCTAAGGAATAAAACTGTCAAAAGATGTGTCAAGACCAATTAAATATTGCTGGGAAAAATCATACAGGACCTAAATAAATGGAAAGATATACTATGTTAATGAATTGGCACAGTCAACATTGTTAACATATCTGTTCTTCCCAAATATATCTATACATTCAATTTAATCCTAATCAAAATCCCAGCAGGTGCTTTGTTTGGTAGAAATTGTCAAGATTTTTCTAAATTTCATATGAAGTGCAAATGACCCAGAATAACCAAAACAACTTCGAAAAAAAGAACAAAGTTGACAAAGGTATACTACCTGACTTTAACACTTATTATAAAGACATGGTTATCCACATATTAGGATATTGGGGTCAAGATAGACAAACAGATCAATGAAACAAAATAGTGGTTTCAGGAATAGTGTGACACACAGAGGGTCAACTGAGTTTTGACAAAGGTGAAAAATCAGTTCTGTAAAGAAAGGAGAGACTTTTAATGAATTATTCTGGGAAAATAGAATACCTATATGCCAAAAAAAATTTAATCCATATCTTTCATCATATATAAAAATTATCTCAAACTGTATCATAGGCCTACCCATACAATCTAAAACTACAAAATTTCTAGAAGAAAACTTAGAAAAAAACTTAGGGAAAGTCTTAACCTTACAGTAGGCACCAGAAGTACAATTATAAAAGAAAAAAATGATAAACAACTAAAATTTTCAGACTCTTCCCTTTGAAAGACAATATTAAGAGAATGAAAAACAAAATGCTGATTAGAAGAAAACATTTGTGAATCATGTGATAACAAATGTATATCCAGAATATATAAAGAACTCTCAAAACTCAGTATTAAGAAAATAAATCAATTTTTAAAAATGAGCAAAAGATTTGAACAGAATCAGAGAAGGTATATGGAAGGGAAACAAGCATTTGAAAAGAGGCTCAACATCACTAGCCATTAGGAAAATGCAAATGAAAATGACAATTAGATACCACTTGTTAGAATGTCTAAAATCATTGCCAAATGATGCGAATTAAGAGAAACTCTCATTCCCTGCTGGTGAGAATAGAAAATGTTACAACCACTTTGGAAAAGTTTGATGGTTTCTTAAAAAGCCAAATATACATCCACTAGATGACCCAGCCATTTTACTGCTGAATATTTACCCAAAAGAAATAAAAACATATGCCATACAGAGACTTGTATAGGCATGTTTACAGCAGCTTTATTTGTAATAGCCAACAACTAGAAACATCCTAAAAGTCCATCAACAGATGAATGGATAAACAAATTGTGGCATATCTATACAACTGAATATTACTCAGCAATAAAAAGGAATGGATAGTTCATACACACAAGACATGGATGCATGTCAAAATCATTTTGCACAGTGAAAGAAACCAGACCAAAAGAATACATTCTGTATGATTCCATTTATATAAAGTTCTAGAGAGTATAAACTTAAATATAGTGACAGAAAACAGATCAATGGCTCCTTGGGGATATGACAAGATTGGTAGGATTACAAAGGGGCAAAAGGAAACTTTTGGGGCTGATGAATATATTCCTTTTCTTGATTGTGGTGATGGTTTCACAGGTGTGTATACATTTCTCAAGTATCAAAAAGGGTACACTTTAAATATATGCCGTTTGTTGTAGGTTAATGATACCTCAATAAGCCTACTTTAAAAAGTTAAGCTGGGTGCAGTGGCTCACGCCTATAATCCCAGCACTTTGGGAGGCTGAGGCGGGTGGATCGCCTGAGGTCAAGAGTATGAGATCAGCCTGGCCAACACAGTGAAACCCCGTCTCTATTAAAAATACAAAAAAATTAGCTGGGTGTGGTGGCGGGAGCCTATAATCCCAGCTACTCAGGAGGTTGAGGCAGGAGAATCACTTGAACCTGGGAGGCAGAGGTTGCAGTGAGCCAAGATAGTGCCATTGCACTCCAGCCTGGGCAACAAGAGCAAAACTCCATCTCAAAAAAAAAAAAAAGGAAGTTAAAAAAATAAAGTAGAAAAAGAAAATACAGAATGATGAGGAGGGAAGCAACTTATTTTAGACAGAATAATCAGAGAATGACTCTCTGAAAAGGTAATATTTAAACAGAGACTCAAAGGTATTGAGGGAACAAGCCATTCCAGCATCTAGGTAAAAGCTCTAGGCAGCGGGAACAGTAAATTTGAGGACCAATGACCTGCTCTATATTGTAATGCCATGGTGATCCTGAGGGGGTGAAACTCAGTGGTACCTCAATTTTGGCATGTTCTTAATATCAGTCTTCTTGTGTATTGCATAGCCATTGAAGTCCTAGGAGATTGAGATAAATGTGTTATTTCAGGACACTGTCTGAAAACTGTCATAACTGCATTAAAATAAACCCATAATATTAGTTTAGGTATCTAAAATTAATTTATTCTTTTAAAAGTAAAAGGCAGCTAATATTCTGATTAATTTCAGACATCTCTTAATTAGGTTCGAGTTCATTAGGGGGAAAATACTTCTTTTTATACTTTATTCATTTCTTCAGCATTCACTGATTTCTTCAATAAATATTTATGTTCTAAGCATTTTGCCAGGCGGTGGGGAGATAGCTTTGAATATCCATGTACTTGTGGAATTTATAGCCTTGTGGAGAAAATGAGTTTATCATTTAGAGAAATGTCCTTTGAGATGAGAGAAATTAAAACTTAGAGACATGACTTCCTATTGTGACCACATAGAGATGAGAAATACATTAGCAAAAACACTACCTGATTTAATAGGTGTTACTTGGTAAAACTCTGATGAAACAGTTAAGGTGAGTAAAATGATTTGGCAGAGGCAGCAGTTAATTATGTTTGCTAAGCAGGAAAATGACATTTGGAAAGGATGAAGGAAAACTTCTGAACAAGAGTTTTAAAAAAAAGATGAAGAAACTGGCTGAACCCTCCAAAATGTAATAACTATCTGTTTATGCTAGCATCAAGGTGACTGACATAAGGCACATACTTTTCAAAGAATGTGAGTCTTTCTAGTGATCAAAGCCATAGAAAATAGAAGGTAGCTAATATTTATTGGGCACCTACTATGGGTCTGGCCTTTTATATATGTTATCTCATTATGTAAAACAACATCAAACACATATTGAGCATTTATTTACTGGGAGTCAGCTTCTATTCTAAACGTTCTACATGTATTGGCTCACTTTATTTTACAGTAAACTAGTAGTACTATTGTTATCATCTCCTTTTATAGGGAATGAAAATAAGATACAGAGAAGTTATGAATTGTCTAAAGCTGCCCAGTTAAAACTTGAACCCTAAGTAGCCTGGCTCCAGAGCCTAACTAAGCTTTCAGCCACTACTCTATGCCGCTTCTGTGTTCCAGGTGCACAGGATGGGAAACTTGTCCTTTTGCAGGAGTGAGAATGCTCATCCATACACGTGCCAGCAAGTTTGTTTTAAAAGGGCTTCTTGGGGTTACTTTGTTGTTGTTTATTCTCCTTCCCCCCTTCACCTTACATTCATTATTCTTGGCTTCTAATGTGAAAAGCCATGAGAAAAGGCAGGAGGAAATAACAAGAGGTGGGAGAATAGTAAAGCCCATCACCTGGATATTTTTATTTCATGTCAGCAAAGGGCTCTGCTGTGATTTTGAAATATTGCAGCTTCAGTGCTGTTTCCACATGGGTGCTCAGCTGGTCTGCAATGCATGGATGCCTGTGCTATGTGTCCAGAAGACAGCTGCCTTGATGAGATGGGGGACAGTGTGGAGGTCGGTAGCCCAGACTCTCGAGCCAGACTGCCTGGGTTTGAATCCTGGCTCTTTTCCATGATTTAAATATTTGCTGCTTCTATTTTTAATATACAGCAATAGACTTGTTTCTGGGGGCTTAGTTGTTCTTTGGAAGAGTGAGGGGGGACACCTCACCCCATCTATCTCATGGTTTTATTTGAAGCTGAAATGAAATAGCACGTGAAAAAAGCACTGTAACTTAGAGCTATCTCAATCGTAGGGATATATTGTTATCTTTACTGCCAGTAAAATATATACCTGTGTTGTTCATTCAGTCCCTCGACCAAGAGACTGGTCCTGCGCCATCAGTGCATTTCCTTGCCCAGTTCTCTTTGTTTCCAACAGACAAAAATGCATGGGGTGAGCAGTCTGGCCAAATAACAGGAAAGCTAATTGTACCGTGAAGTGATCAGAATTCCCACACCCATGATGTTGTTGAAGGCTTTGTCTTATCTAATATGCACCAATAGCCAGGTCTTCAGCACTAAGCAGCCTGGTCTTTGCAATTTATCTAAAAGTAAAAAGAGAAAAAGCAATGTGGGGCCAAGAGTGGCAAAGACAGGATGATTCTTATTTCTACCGTAATTAGCAAAAGGGACAATTAGTTATTTTAACATATTTTAAATAAAGGTTGGTTATTTTTGAAGGTACTGGTTTAAAAAAAGCACATAATTTCTTAAGAAGGCTATGCCCACATTGGGGAAAGAAACTGTGTATTCCACTAATAACTAAAGTGCTGGTGTCTATGTGAGCCTGCCTTTCTGTCTTTTACATCTTGTGATACAGGTATAGGAGCTAGGAGTGAATAGTATTCATTTCTGTAGGACAGAATAAGAAAGATCTCGACTAACAAATCTATTTTTAACTAGTAAGTAGCAGTATCTCATTTTTCCAATCCTAGGTGTCCTCTGATCTGAGAATTATAAACTACATGTCCTTCTTCCTTATGGAGAAAAACTGACAGTAAGAATTAGCAGGAAAAGAGACAACCCATAAGAACAATGCTTCCTCCTGATAAAAGGATAGCCATTCTGAAATTCAAAAATAGAAATGCAAAGCAGAGGTAGCAGACAACAGAAAAATGAAAGGGATTGTCATTCCAAGAATTGGGGAATGCTATAGGTCAACAAAGTTCTGGATCATAACGCCGAGATTTAAATAGGAAAATACTCCAAGATTATGGTCTGATGTTAAAATGCTAAGGGAAGTCAGGAGCTTGGATTCAATTTTCCCTAAGGCCTTGCATTTTATTTCTAACTAAAATTTCATGGAGCACTTAAGAAATACCAGCCTTTACAAAACAGATCTGACAACTTATGTGCTGGGGTATGGTCTAAAATAGGAAATGAAATTTAAGCCTAAAATGCTAAAATCTTTTGGCAGACAACAAAATTATATATATAGGCCATACCTGATTGGAAAAAAATAGTAATTCCGTTGATTTTGTTCTTGTTTTCCCTTCTTTTAAGGTTGCTGGCAAGTGTTTGAATCCCCATTGAGAAGAAGGTGATCAGAGAATTAAGTCATTGAGCCAGTCTGTGTGACAGCCTTTGTGTTAGGACCAGGGAGGAAAGGGAACATGTCCCAGCCTCAAAGATTTTAGAGTTTAGTGAGGAGGAAATTACCATAAAGAATGATCAGTATTATATTAAAGATGTGTGCAAGATATATAAAATGTTGAAGGAAGGGGAGGATGCTTAACTTGGCTTGGATAGAGAGCTTATAGAGGAGACCATCTAATCTGTGCCTTGAAGACGTAGTAGGAATTTTTGAGGCAAAAAGAAGGAAGATGGTGTTCCAGGCAGAGGGAACAGCATGTGCAAAGGTATGTTTGAGGAACTACAAATGATTCATTATTGCTGTACTTCAAAGGTTATATGTGCATGTATGAGGAGGGAAATCTGCACAGAAATGGAGGCAGGATAAGTAGGAAACAGACAATCAAGGGACTTGTGTGCCATGAAAAAGAGAACTCTTTTCTTTCCTGAGAACAGAGAGATTTGATCAAATTGTTGTTGCACAAACATCCCCTGGAGGATGTGGGAGATAGACGAATACAGGAAAGAAACTGGAAGTGGAAAGGTATAGAAAACCTGCAAGGCTCTTTCTCTTAAAGAGCAAATAGACAAAATGACCTAACTAATTATTTTAGGAGACAGTCTTTAATGCAGAGGGGCCTCCAAATATTCTTAGTTTCCTAGAACAAAGTAAGCCCTGGTTCAACAGCTGACTGGACTTCCTGTGAAAGAAATTTAGTCTGCCATGCCTCAGCTGCAGAAGTCAGACATGAGAGGATTCTTCCCATAGAGAAGACTTGGTCTAATGTTGGTTCAAACTTAGCTTGATAGCCATGGCAAATGAACACTCTTTAGTTGCTAGAAGAGCAATGTTAAAATTTCAGGTGTTTCGTGTATGCTTTACAAAGTGATGAAAAATAATAACAATTTTTTTAAAAAAGATGATAGCTGAGAGGATTAAAGATGTTGATAAATACAGAAAGTGCTTAGAACAGTACTTGCATATATGCACTGAATAAATATTAGTGAAAATAAATATTAGCTATAACAATAAATATTGACTATATATTATTAGCTATAATAAGTATTTACCTATAATAACCATAATACATGTAATAATGTATTAATAATAATTGGCTCCTGAATCAGAAACAAATTTCAAATAGTCACCTCTCTGAATAAGTTAGGTACTATCTAAAATCCATGAAATCTGTGATTTTGAAAGAACTCATCAGGAAACTCTGGTTCAGTTTTTACATCCATCACTCTTCAGCAGATGTATTAAGATTAAGTATGAACACAGAAGAGGCACTGAATTTATTTTTTTCATCTTAGCCTATTTTAACTGTTCCGAAATCTCATGATTAGAGTAAATACCTTCTGTGATGGATGCTTATTTACCTTCTTGATAAAGTCAACTGGTAAATCTCTAATTCTTATAAATCAGAAGCCAGAAAAATGTCTCAACCTGAAAATTAATGCTTATTTCCATTTTCTACTAATATTGTGAAAATCCAGGGCTAAAAACTGGTTTCTGCTTCATTTTTCCAGCAATCGTAAAATGTTTCTTTGGGTAAAGTGGGATAAATTTTCAGAGAATTTGACCCTCAATTCTGTGTGTATTTTTCACACTTAAGACAATCTTAGAAACTTCACATGCAGGAAATTTAATTTATTTCATATAGAAGCATTGGCTGAAAATTATAACATAAACCAAAAACAAAGAATAGAGCTGGCTTAAAAATGTTGAATTAACAGACTAAAATATATTTATACTATAATATAAACATATAATTAGGTAATTTAAACTAAGCATTGAGATTCATAATGACCCAAAGTCTGGGGGTAGAAAAAGAGCTTTCTTTTCTTCTGTTTTCTATACAACTCAGAGCCAACCTGGGAATCTGTCATGGACAGTTATATTCACCACCAAGCATGTGTCCTTCTCTTCTGATAACCACAATTTTCCTTGGGGGATTTACCCTCTCATTACTCGTAGTTCCTGTGCTTGGGAGGAGTTTCTTGCCTATCATCTACTGGGATAGGTATATGACCAAAATCTGGTGCTGTCGGTGGCTTCTGAGATGGCTGCATTGATTCTTAGTTCCTTCTACTGAAGGCTTTGTGCAAGTCCCTCCCACTTGAATAACTTTCTTCTAATTAATAGCATACCTCAAAATTGGGAAGATGTCACTTCCATTATTAGATTACAAAGTTCTGACTTTGATCTTACTAAGAGATCCTCTTCCTTGCTGGTTTACTAGGAGATCCTCTTCCTTGATGAAGCAAGATTCTATGTTGAGGCCCGTGCCAAGGAATTGAAGAAAATCTATGGCCAACAGCCATCTAAGAAAGGAGGCCCTCAGTCCAACAGATCAAAAGGAACTGAATCCTATCAACAGCCATGTAAATGAACTTTGAAGTGTATCTCAGGATGAGCCTTCAGATGAGCCCCTTGCCCTGGCCTACACATTGACTGAAGCTTTGTGAAAGGGCCTGAAGCAAGGACCCAGTTAAGCCATGTCTAGATTCCTGACCCACAGAAATTGCGAGATTATAAAATGTATGCTGTTTTAAGCTGCTAAATTTTGTGGTGATTTGTTATACAACAATAGACAAGAAATGCATCTGGGTGCTTTTTATGCTCCCCTGGCCAAAATGTTTCATTCAGAGTTGACCACATGATCCAACTCAGTACAATAAAAGTTAGGGTCTCTCTCCCTCTGCTGTACACACAGGGCATAAGATTGCAAAGACTTAATCTTGGTGGTATTGGAAGTCTTACTTGAACCATTTGGAGTCTGAAAAGGAAGCCAACATAGAGCATAATAGAGTAGAAAAATGGAAAGAGGCTGGTTCCTAATAACCTTTTTTGAGAATCCAGAATCAAGCTGCAACTGAAACTTGAATTTCCCTTGGATTTTTGGATATGCCCCTTTATATTTTACAAATATAAAAAAATTATATTTTCAAGGTATATGTTTTTGCTTAAAACAATTTGAGTTATGAACTAATATACTACATCATGAAATAGTCATTGAATTCCTCTTCTTGCTTTTGTCTTGCAAATAATATTTTATTCTCTCTATAAAACAGTGATTAATTGTTAATAGAGTTAAGAAAACTGATGCTCAATGAAGGAATTCTCTACTTCAGTACCTGTGGAGTCTAAGATAAATTTTTAAAAATAAAGTGCTAAAAATCAGCTCAGTAGCATTTACATAGCTAGCTGATGTTGGATATAAGAACATTGACATGGATTTGAATTGTATAGTCACATGCATTTTGTTTTTTAAAATAATATAGAGACAAAATTTCCAACATGTTGCTTTCTACTGTGTCCACAGAACCCTTCATTCTATGCTGAATTCTACTCAAAGCCAAATAACATCTTTAAGTTTCCATGGACATTGAGCAAAGTTTCCCAGATTCTACCGTGGTTGTGTTACAAGTTAAGTATTCCTTATCCAAATGCTTGAGACCAGAAGTGTTTCAAATTTTGGAATATTTGCATATACATAATAAGACATCTTGGGAAAGAGACCCAAGTCTAAACATGGAATTCATTTGTGTTTCATATACATCTTGTACACATAGTCTGAAGGTAATTTAACACAATATTTTAAATAATTTTGTGCATTTAAATAAGTTTGTATATCTTGAGCCATCAGAAAGCAAAGGTGTCACTATCTCAGCTGCCCATGTGGACAATCTGTGGTTGTTTGGCATCATCATAATTCCTGATTCTGAAATTATATGCTACTGATAAGCAATCTTTTTTTATACTTACTCAACACAAGTACTTCATAGTAAAAAATAGGACATACCATTAATACAGGAAAAAATAATGTGTTCAGGTTAGCTAATCCGCATAGTACCATCACCAGAATACCTGCATCAGCTGTTGAAGAAGAGCAACAACAAATAGTTGCAGGCTTCCAGGCTCCACCTACGATGCTGTGTTTTGATTGAAAGGTTTCTGTACACTGTGTTTTATTTTTTATTTATTTACTTATTTTTAATTTTACTTTTGAGACCGAGTCCTGCTCTGTTGCTCAGGCTGGAGTGCAGTAGCATGATCTCCATTGACTGAAACTTCTGCCTCTGGGGTTCAAGTGATTCTCCTGCCTCACCCTCCCAAGTAGCTGGGATTACAGGTGCCCATCACCATGCCCGGCTAATTTTTTTGTATTTTCAGTAGAGATGGGGTTTCACCATGTTGGCCAGGCTGGTTTCAAACTCCTGACCTCAGGTGATCCGCCTGCCTCAGCCTCCCTAAGTGCTAGGATTACAGGTGTGAGCCACCACACTTGGCCTGTGTTTTATTTTTTTAGGTGGGAAGAAACATCAGACACAGGTGAGAGACCAGGAAGTGGGTCCTCCAGGGATCAGGAGGCATTCTACTGGTTGGCTTTTTAAAATGTTTCCTCCAGAGTCATTTGCCTCATTTACAATGTTTTTTGTCTTTTAAGTTTCTCTTTGATTTCATAAACTGACATGATTTCTTGTTATGAATGCATGCTGCTCTAGACCTTCAACAAGTCCATCACACATTTTCACCATGTCATTATAGGCACTTTTTCCTCAGTATGAATGTCATCTTCATCATTACTACGATCATGATCACCTTGATTCAGAACCATTTCAGCTGCTTCAGGATTGGTCAATGAATGCACAAATGGAGCCTCAATGTTAAAAAAACTTCATTGATATGCACTTCTACCAGCTTACTGATTGATATAGTTTGAATGTCAAACTATATCATGTTGAGGTGTAATCCCTAGTGTTGGAGGTGTTTGGATCATGGGGGCAGATCCCTCATGAATGGCTTGGGCCATCCCCTTAGCGATAAGTGAGCTCTCATTCTCAGTTCACATGAGATCTGGTCATTAAAAAGTGTCTGGCACCTCCTCCTAATTATCTCTCTCTCGATCCCATTTTCTCCGTGTGAGATGCCTGCTCCCCCTTTGCCTTCCACCATCAATAAAGGCTCCCTGAGAGCCCCCCAGAAGCCAAGCAGATGCCAGCACCCTGCTTCCTGTACAGCCTGCAGAGCCATGCGCCAATTAAGCCTCTTTTCTTTATAAATTACATAGTCTCAGATGTTTCTTTATTGCAATGCATGAACAGCCTAATATACTGATAGACTCTGAATGCATATTTTCTGCATATGAGAGGAGGTCCAAAATCATTTTTTTCACACTTGACATATGGGAATCCTTCAAAGTACCAATTTGTTCATCATCATCACTGAACACAGCCATAGACAACAGGTTGTACCAGGCATGCAAAACTGTCTTTAGTCACTATGTTCCAAGTCTTGGCAACAGCATATACAGTATTCTTCATGTTAAACTCCTTTACGAAAACGTCCATGCCCATACCTCTGTTCCCTGACGCTAGCATGCTGTTTAATAAAGTGTTTTTATATTTCCTTTTCATTGACTTAAGGGTACCCTAATCACATAGCTCAATGAATGAAGTCACATTTGAGGAAAATTGCATGACATAAACTTTTTTTTATGAGAATTTCACCTGGAGGATGAGCAGAACAGTTGTTAAGGAATAACAAAATATTGCAGTTGTTATTCAGTACAGCTTCCATGCAGTGAGCATGAGCCGCTGGTACAAAATGTTTGTGAAATCAATCAGGAAACATGTCCCTGATGATCTATGTCTTTCTGTTAGCATAATAACAGAATGGTAAGAAATTCACTCCTTGAAAACAGCAGGGACACAAGCTTTTGCTTAAAACAGCAAGTTTACACTTATGTATGTCTGCTGCATTAGCACATCCCAGCAGAGGTATTACCCTTGGCCTCCTTAATTCCTGTCTAGGCTGTCTCATCAGCTGTGGTTAGTGTCTTCCTGGGGCAATAATGGCAATAATGCCAAAACAGTGATGTTTCATCAGCATTATAGACTTGTTCTAGCATCAGATTTTCACAAGTGATGACCTTGGCAAACTTGTTACTAAATTTTTTTTTCACTGCTTTGTAATCAGCAGATGCTTTACTACCACAATCTTTACAAGTCTAATGCTGTGTCTCTTCTTGAATATTCATGGTTAACTTCAATTTTCAGTTCATTGTGATAGATCTTTGTTTGTTTCATAATCAGAATACCATTAAGTGGCACGTGTTCACTGCAACACCAACAGATCCATTCCTTCCATACACAATTGAGATATTCCATTTTGGCTTTATGCAGTGTTTTTCTATTTTTCATTATCTTCTGCTCATCACTTTCAGTATAGAACTTGAACAGTTTATCCTGCTATTTCCTCAGGTCATATCCAGGGTCATTCCAACGCCATACTCTTCTGTAAGATGCTTCACACATTCACCAATATCCAATTTCTCCAACAGCTTGGCTTTCTGTGGCATAGACAAACATTAATTCTTCCTCTTTTTAAAATCATGATTATCCATACCCACAGGGGTGTCTGTAGGCCATTTGGACTCTTTCAACAATATCTTTTTACCACGAAGCAGAGATTAAGCAAAAAATCCACAATGGGTAATGCACATGTCTTGGCCCCACACAGGACATCATGGCACCTCATGGGGAACCTGCTGTTGGCATATCCAATTAACACACATGCTTTCTTATTACCTTTGACTGGCAGGCTTGTTGGGGGAGAGGAATCTGGGCAGGCATGTGAATATGTTGCAATTGAAGAGGGCTGGGGGCCCTTTTTACCCTTGGGGATGCTGAATAAATTAAAATAATTTCAGGCACTATCAACTTTGTTGTTGTATTTATAACAATGCAGGGAATGTTTCCCCAACCTTTTAAATGTTTGTTCCCTATTGTTATTATATTTTTCTGCTTTGTTCATTATTTATTTTATATCAAATATGGTTTCATTGAAAATAACTTTATATGCATAATTTGCCTAATAGATCATAAATAACTTAAGACCATTCATGTAATAAGATAACAAAAATAACAATATTTTTGTAGTTTTAGACGTGCTTTAAATAAAATAGTAAGAACAAAAGTTCATAAAATCTTATCGAGGTCAAATGCTAGCCCAGTTGTTGATCCAAAACCAGATATCTCTTCAACTCACCCTAATGAACTATCAATGACTAATCATAAAATTGGGATAATAAAAATAATGCTTTAGCATGATAAAGGAATACCAAATATAGAGACAATGTAGAAAAAAAGGTTAGCAGTAATAAAATAAACCTTGGCTATAACATTCATTTCTATAAACTATAGTAATTATCTAGATCAAATACATATTATGGATTGACTAAGTGTGATGATAGAAAATGGGCTTAGGAAGGATATAAATTTAGTTGAGGCCGGGCGCGGTGGCTCATGCCTATAATCCCAGCACTTTGGGAGGCTGAGGTGGGCGGATCACGAGGTCAGGAGATTGAGGCCATCCTGGCTAACACGGTGAAACCCCGTCTCTACTAAAAATACAAAAAAATTAGCCGGGCGTGGTGGCGGGTGCCTGTAGTCCCAGCTACTTGGGAGGCTGAGGCAGGAGAATGGTGTGAACCCAGGAGATGGAGCTTGCAGTGAGCCGAAATGGCACCACTGCACTCCGGCCTGGGTGACACAGCGAGACTCTGTCTCAAAAAAAAAAAAAAAAAAAAAAAAAATTTAGTTATCTATTTTAAGGAATAAACTGAAAAGACATGCATTGTGTCATTTACCTTAACAAACAGTTTACAAGAGTGCCATGCATTCTCTTTCCTGCCATCCTTCTTGACTTCAATAGCATTTTGTAAAAGATGATGGTTTAGGGCCATGTAACAGCTGGCTTAGTATATTAGCTCTAGGAAATTTTCTTAACAAAGAGCAGACTCCTAATTATGTGACCATGGGAAAAACTCTCTATGAATCTCCTTTCTCATCTATAAAATTAGGAAAATCTGTAAAGTGAGTACCTATATAATAGGGTTGTTGACAGATTAAATGTGATAATACTTAACAACAGTGCTGACATATGATAAATCCTCAATAATGCTAACTGTAATTACTATTATAATATCACTGTGACTATTGTTATTTATTATTAGTATCATCAAAATTATTTGGCATTTAAGGTTCTCCATCATTTGGGCTTAATCAACCCCAACTGCATTTATAATAAACCCTAGGCTGTAACATTCATTTCTATGAACCCTTTCCTCCTTGTTATGAGAATGCTTCCTTCTATTTATTCATTACCTGCCTCATGGCTTCTTGCTTCCCTGTTTTTGTTCATGCTATCCTTTCTACCTATAATAATCTGTGGCTCCCTCATCCTTTTTGCCAATTTCCTCCTGGCTTTGTGCTACTGATCCTTTGAGGTCCTTTCATCTCCTCAGCAAGAATTTCTAGGATACTTCCAGTTTTCTTCTTCTTATAAACTCCCATAGTACATTATTTATGCCTCTTACAAGGCATTTTAAACTTTTGATACTGTTAAAAATGTACATATACATTGCATATTTTTCACAAGACTTTAAACACCTAGATGATGGAAGCCATGTCTTAACCATCTCTGTGTCCCACACAGTACCTAGCAGAATGCCTTGCACAAAGGGGGCTAAACAGATATTCTAAATAAATGGTGATTATAGGAATCAGACATGTAATTTTTGCTTCATTAGAAGAATCTTCTAATTAACTGGACTAAGCAGTGCTTACTTTCCCAAAAAGTTGATTATAGAGACTCACTGTTGGAGGTTTGTTTCTTAGGTAATCAAGGCTGATCACTGGATTTCTTTGATTTTCCCAAGATTGGGGCTAATGCCTGAAATTGGGGAAAGTTCTTTGAGGGAAAGGGTTTTTTTTTTTTTTTTTTTTTAATCTGAACGAAATTTCAAAAAAGGGAATGCTTCTTACTTGACCAAAATTGAAAGCACCATGGGATAAAAATTTCTGAGTTATGAGTCTCAGGGGTCCAAACACAAAACCCCAAAGCATGGCCTCTTGGTTTGCTGACTACTTTGAACTGAAGGACACTGAAAGTGCCTCAGAAGCAAGGTCTTTCTGATCCTCTCCTGCCTTCTTTCTCCCTCTCCACTTTCTCCCCCAAAGCAAGCCATAAAACCTAGGAAGGTCTCTGACCTCCTCCCCTCCCTACTGACTGTCCTCATATGACAGATGTCCTGTCCCATATCTGGGGTGAATCTGAACAAACAGGCCTAAGTTTCTCCCCAGTTTACATCCATTAGAGTATACTGTTTTCTCCAACCATACTTCTACATGACTATCCATTCTTCATCAAATCTAAGCATAAAAATATAGCTTTCCTTGGGTTTGTGGGTGTTCATTTCTGAAGCCTTGTGTGTCACATAAACTTTGGTTAAATAAATTCGTTATGCTTTTCTCTTGTCAATCCATGTTCTGTTATAGGGATGTTAACCATGATCCTTGCGATAAGTTAGGAAAAAGAAGCCTTGGCTTTTTTTTTTGGCTCCCAATACCTTGCTCACAGAATAAAACTTTATAATTTCTCATAATATGTTTTTCTTTTGAAAGCCCCAACCATCCACTGAGCTTGAAATCTATGTTTTATTTCTGAAGGCTCATTATTCTAGATTTTAGCTTTCATTTGGACAATGATCAAAGAGAAACAACTTTCACAGCCTCAAGGTAAAAGATTGTAAACAGCAAATTAGTGAACAAAAGTATTTTTCTTTAGTTTTATCTTAAATGTATAAGAACAAAAACCAAGATGGCCTTCACAAGAGAAAATATTCCTTTTCCAAATAATATTGGCTAATTTGAAATTTTCATATTCAAACAAATTTAATTTTGTGAGTGGGAAAAACATTTTTTCAAGAGAAAGTTTTAGGTATTTTCTTATTTTTTATTTTTTTGTGGGTACATAATGGGTGTATATACTTATGGGGTATATGAGATTTTTCATACAGGCATACAATGTGTAATGATCACGTCAGAATAAATGGGGTTTCCATCAACAGAAGCATTTATTCTTTGTGTTACAAACAGTCCAAGTACACTCTTTTAGTTATTTTTAAATGTATAATTAAATTATTATATTTAATTATATAACTAATGATAGTTACCCTGTTGTACTATCAAACACCAGATCTTATTCATTCTTTCTATTTATTTGTACCCATTAATCATCTCCCCTTCCTCCTTATCCTCCCACTACCCTTCCCAGCTTCTGGTAACCATATGTATTAGTCCATTTTCACACTGCTATAAAGAACTACATGAGACTGAGTAATTTATAAACAAAAGAGGCTTAATTGACTCACAGTTCCACATGGCTGGGGAGGCCTCAGGAAACTTATAATCATGGCAGAAGGTCAAGGGGAAGCAAGGCACATTTTATATGGTGGCAGGGCGTAGGGACTGCCACACACTTTTAAACCATCAGATCTTGTGAGAACTTGCTATCATGAGAACAGCATGGGGGAAACCACCCCCACGATTCAATCACCTCCTACCAGTTCCCTCCCCCAACACATGGGGATTACAATTTGACATGAGATTTGGGTGGGGACACAGAGCCAAACCATATCATCATCTTACTCTCTATCTCCATGAGTTAAATTGTTTTAATTTGTAGCTCCCACAAATAAGTGAGAACATGCAAAGCTTTTCCTTCTGTGCCTGGCTTATTTTACTTAACATAAGGACCTCCTGTTCCATCGTTGTTGCTGCAAATGACAGGATCTCATTCTTTTTATGGCTGAATAGTACTCCATTGTGTATATGTATTACATTTTCTTTATCAATTCATCTGTTGGACACTTGGTTTTTTCCAAATCTTGGCTATTATGAATAGTGCTACAATAAATGTGGGGGTGCAGATATCTCTTCAATATATTGATTTCCTTTCTTTTGGGTATATACCTAGGAGTGGGATTACTAGATCATATGGTAGCCCTACTTTTAGTTTTTTCAGGAACCTCCAAACCGTTCTGCATAATGGTGGTTCTAATTTACGTTCCTACTAACAGTGTACGAGAGTTCCTTTTTCTCCACGTCTTCACCAGCATTTATTATTGCTTGTCTTTTGGATAAAAGCCATTTAACTGGGGTGAGATGATATCTCATTGTGGTTCTGATTTACATTTCTCTGATAATCAATGATGTTGAACACACTTTTATATGTCTCTTTGCCATATATATGTCTTCTTTTGAGAAATGTCTATTCAGATCTTTTGCTCAGTTTTAAATCAAATTATTAGATTCTTTTTCCTGTAGAGTTGTTTGAGGTCCTTGTATGTTATGGTTTTAATCCCCTGTCAGATGGAGGGTTTGCAAATATTTTCTCCCACTCTATGGGTTATTAATTATATGAAATATTTAGAAAGAAAACAATAGTTGCATCCATATCTGAAAAATTTAGAGACACTGATGACATGATGACCTTCATTCCCTAATGTTTTTATGGATGATCTAGATATCACAAGACACATTAAAGAAACTACACTGTAGGGAATATTCAACAGTTGGATTGAGCTTATGCAGCGTTTCCCAAAGTTTTAGAAATTCCATCAGATAACAAAAGGAATAATGTCCAATAAGAATCATTGGTCTTAGGTGCAGTGGCTCATGCCCGTAATCCCAGCACTTTGGGAGGCCAAGGCGGGCGGATCATGAGGTCAGGAGTTTGAGACCAGCCTGGCCAACATGGTGAAACCCCATCTCTACTAAAAATACAAAAAATTAGCCAGGCGTGGTGGTGGTCGCCTGTAATCCCACCTACTTGGGAGGCTGAGGCAGGAGCATCTCTTGAAACCAGAAGGCGGAGGTTGCAGTGAGCTGAGATCGTGTCACTGCACTCCAGCCTGGGTAACAAGAGCAAAACTCCATCTCCAAAAACAACAACAATAACAACAACAAATCATTGGTCAAGGAAGTTTGGGAAATAGAGGGCAAAGCAGGTTAAACAGATTTCTTTAATGTAGATCCCTGAGACTTTGACATACTAATTTTCCTCATGAATCTCCAATAAGGGTTATACGGCATTGATGTTTCCTGACCTCATATGGCCAAGGATTACTCTTGACTTTTTTCTGTCAGAGCACCTTGAAGGACTGACAATCTATGAAGCACATTTTGGGAAACTCATGTCTAATATTATATACAAAGGAGGTTAATGACAATATGCAATGAAAAATTAATCAAAATGCAGTTTCATATAAATCAAATATACATTTCACTTATAATATCAAATATAAAAAAGACATAGTCTTGAAGTAAAATGAGCCTTATCATCTCAAATGGGTAATCTGGATATTAATTCACCTGTTGTTTAGAATCTTATTCATTAAACAAGCACTCAGTTTTTACCTTCTTTGTGACAAGCACTGTGTTCAGTACCAAGATAATAAAAGATGATAGTAACACAATATATCTTCCCATTTAGATTGCAATTCCACAGAGTTCTAAAGGTACTTTCTTTGGCAAAATAGTTCAAAAAATATGTCAAGAGACTATATCAATAAGTTATTGAGCCATAGACTATTAAAGAAGTGGGAGGTCAATAGAGGAGAGATAAGAAGGTTTCATGGTGTGCAAGATTGGAATTTGGCCTAGAGGACTGATAGGAGGTACAGTTTAGCTCCATTTGGGTTCAAGCATAGAACATGTACAGAATAAAGAAAAGACTTAGGGCTACAAGTTCATATTAGAAACATCCCCTAGACCTAGAGTTAGAGATCTAGATTCCAATTCCAGTTCTAAAAGTCACTTGCTATGTGACCTTAGCTATCTTGTCTATCTATAGATTATGGAAAATAATGCCTGTTTTGTCTATTTCAAAATATCATTAGGAGAAAACACCTATAGATAGCATAGTATGTTGTTAATTTTTGGAGTTCAAACTATATTTATCTAAGTTCGTCAAGAGTTAGTGCAAAGCATTGCTTACAATGTATCCTCAATGAACATTTATTTCATGAAAGAATGAATGGATAAAAGAAGTTAGACCTGAATTTCCTCTGCCACTTACTAACTAGGTCATACATGACCTTAGTTAAATTACTTAGTCACCCTGAGCCTCAGGTTTCGTATTTCTAAAATGAGGGTTAAAAATTATGCTTATATCACAAGATTGCTCTGGTTAAATGGAAATTGATGAAAAATTCTTAGCACAGTAGTTAGTATATACTTTTCATCACATATACATCCTATATATTGGATAATTAAAGACAATTCATCAAATATAAAGTACAGTGATTGTGTTTATGATAAAAACTATCACATAGCAGAGAAGGAGAAGTGAGTGTTCAACATGTAGTTGTGAACTGACACTTTTGGTCCAAGAGCTGCATCAGAACACGATGAGTGACACACAATGTGCACCATAACATCACCAAGAATGTGAGTTTAAAAAGTATCAGATCATTGACTGATTCTTCAGAAGGATCCTAGATTACCATGCCATTTAAAAATATGTGTAAGAAAAGCAGAGCTCAAAAATTATGTATGAGAGGCTTTCCAGTGTACGTTGAGCCTCAAAGGAATAAAATAAACTGAAATTTAGACATTTACTCACAACGATTGGTATAGCTCAGAGGTGATAATCTCTGGAAAGAGTATTGATAATGTTAATCATTTTATAGATTTTAAATTGGTTTGTGTTCTACTGGGAACCAAAGAAGATGTCATGAAGGTGGCTGGCAAGATGGACGAATAGGAATAGCTCTGGTCTGCAGCTCCCAGTAAGATCAATGCAGAAGGTGGGTGATTTCTGCATTTCTAACTGAGGTACCCGGTTTGTCTCATTGGGACGGTTAGACAGTGGGTGCAGCCCATGGAGGGCGAGTAGAAGCAGTGTGAGGTGTCACCTCACCTGGAAGTGCAAGGGGTCGGGGGACTCCCTCCCCTAGCCAAGGGAAGCCATGAGGAACTGTGCAGTGAGGAACGGTGCATTCTGGCCCAGATACTACGCTTTTCCCATGGTCTTCGCAACCTGCAGACCAGGAGATTCCTCCAGTGCCTATGCCACAAGGGCCCTGGGTTTCAAGCATAAAATTGGGCGGCCATTTGGGCAGACACCGAGTTAGCTGCAGGAGTTTTCTTTCATACCCCAGTGGCCCTGGAACACCAGCGAGACAGAACTGTTCACTCCCCTGGAAAGGGGGCTGAAGCCAGGGAGCCAAGTGGTCTAGCTCAGTGGATCCCACCCCCACAGAGCCCAGCAAGCTAAGATCCACTGGCTTGAAATTCTCACTGCCAGCACAGCAGTCTGAAGTCAACCTGGGATGCTCCAGCTTGGTTGGGGAAGGGGCGTCCGCTATGACTGAGGCTTGAATAGGCGGTTTTCCCCTCACAGCAAAACAAAGCTACAGGAAGTTCCAACTGTGCACAGCCTACTGCAGATTGGTAAAGCTGCTGTAGCCACACTGTCTCTCTAGATTCCTCCTCTCTGGCAGGGCATCTCTGAAAGAAAGGCAGCAGCCCCAGTCAGGGCCTTATAGATAAAACTTCATCTTCCTGGGACAGAGCACCTGGAGGAAGGGGCAGCTGTGGGCACAGCTTCAGCAGACATAAATGTTCCTGCCTGCCAGCGCTGAAGAGAGCAGCAGATCTCCCGGCACATTGATTGAGCTCTGCTAAGGGACAGACTGCCTCCTTAAGTGGGTCCCTGACACCCATGCCTCCTGACTGAGAGATACCTCCCAGCAGGAGTCGACAGACACCTCACACAGGAGAGCTCTGACTGGCATCTGGAGGGTGCCCCTCTGAGATGAAGCTTCCAGAGGAAGGATCAGGCAGCAGTCTTTGCTGTTCTGCAGCCTCTGCCGCTGATACCCAGGCAAACAGGGTCTGGAGTGGACCTCCAGCAAACTCCAGTAGACCTGCAGCAGAGGGGCCTGACTGTTAGAAGGAAAACTAACAAACAGAAAGGAATAGTATCAACATCAACAGAAATGACATCCACACCAAAACCCTATCAGAAGTCCAAAGGTAGATAAATCCATGAAGATGGGGAGATACCACTGCAAAAAGGCTGAAAATTCCAAAAATCAGAATGCCTCTTCTTCTCCAAAGGATCATAACTCCTCGCCAGCAAGGGAACAAAACTGGATGGAGAATGAGTTTGACGAATTGACAGAAGTAGGCTTCAGAAGGTGGGTAATAACAAATTCCTCCGAGCTAAAGGAGCATGTTCTAAATGAATTGCTAACTAGAATAACCAGTTTAGAGAAGAACATAAACGACCTGATGGAGCTGAAAAACACAGCACAAGAACTTTGTGAAGCATACACAAGTATCAATAGCCAAATTGATCAAGCAGAAGAAAGGATATCAGAGATTGAAGATCAACTTAATGAAATCAAGCATGAAGACAAGATTAGAGAACAAATAATGAAAAGGAACAAACAAAGCCACCAAGAAACATGGGACTATGTGAAAAGACCAAACCTACGTTTGGTTGGTGTACCTGGAAGTGACGGGGAGAGTGGAACCAAGCTGGAAAATACTCTTCAGGATATTATCCAGGAGAACTTCCCCAACCTAGCAAGACAGGCCAACATTCAAATTCAGGAAATACTGAGAACACCATGAAGGTACTCCTTCATGAGAAGAACAACCCCAAGACACATAATTGTCCGATTCACCAAGGTTGAAATGAAGGAAAAAATGTTAAGGGCAGCCAGAGAGAAAGGTTAGGTTACCCACAAAGGGAATCTGATAAGACTAACAACGTATCTGTCTGCAGAAACCTTGCAAGCCAGGAGAGAGTAGGGGAGCCAATATTCAACATTCTTAAAGAGAATAATTTTCAACCCAGAATTTCATATCCAGCCAAACTGAGCTTTAAAAGTGAAGGAGAAATAAAATCCTTTACAGATAAGCAAATGCTGAGAGATTTTGTCACCACCAGTTCTGCCTTATAAGAGCTCCTGAAGGAAGCACTAAACATGGAAAGGAACAACCGGTCCAGCCACTGCAAAAACATACCAAATTGTAAAGACCATTGACACTATGAAGAAACTACATCAACTAATGGGCAAAATAACCAGCTAGCATCATAATGACAGGATCAAATTCACACATAACAATATTAACCTTAAATGTAAATGGGCTAAATGACCCAATTAAAAGATACAGACTGACAAATTGGAAAAAGAGTCAAGACCCATTGGTGTGCTGTATTCAGGAGACCCATCTCATGTGCAAAGACACACATAGGCTCAAAATAAAGGGATGGGGGAATATTTACCAAGCAAATGGAAAGCAAAAAAAAAAGCAGGGGTTGCAATCCTAGTCTCTGATAAAACAGACTTTAAACCAACAAAGATCAAGAGAGACAAAGACGGGCATTACATAATGGTAAAAGGATCAATGCAACAAAAAGAGCTAACTATTCTAAATATATATGCACTCAATAGAGGAGCACCCAGATTCATAAAGCAAGTTCTTAGAGACCTACAAAGAGACTTAGACTCCCACACAATAATAGTGGGAGACTTTAACACCCCACTGTCAATATTAGACAGATCAATGAGACGGAAAATTAACAAGGATATTCGGGACTTGCACTCAGCTGTAGAACAAGCAGACCTAATAGACATCTACAAAACTGTCCATCCCAAATCAACAGAATATAAATTCTTCTCAGCACCACATCACACTTATTCTAAAATTGACCATATAATTGGAAGTAAAACACTCCTCAGCAAATGCAAAAGAACGGAAATCATAACAAACAGTCTCTCAGACCACAGTGCAATCAAATTGGAACTCAGGATTAAGAAACTCACTCAAAACCACACAACTACATGGAAACTGAACAACCTGCTCCTGAATGACTACTGGGTAAATAATGAAATGAAGGCAGAAATAAATAAGTTATTTGAAACCATTGAGAACAAAGACACAATGTACCAGAATCTCTGGGACATAGCTAAAGCACTGTTTAGAGGGACATTTATAGCACTAAATGCCCACAGCAGAAAACGGGAAAGATCTAAAATCAATACCCTAACATCACAATTAAAAGAACTAGAGAAGCAAGAGCAAACAAATTAAAAAGGTAGCAGAGGACAAGAAATAACTAAAATCAGAGCAGAACTGAAGGAGACAGAGACACGAAATACCCTTCGAAAAATCAATGAATCCAGGAGCTGGTTTTCTGAAAAGATCAACAAAATAGACCACTAGCCAGACTAATAAAGAAGAAAAGAGAGAATAATCAAATAGACGCAATAAAAAATGATAAAGGAGATATCACCACTGATCCCAAGGAAATACAAACTACCATCAGAGCATACTATAAACACCTCTACATAAATAAACTAGAAAATCTAGAAGAAATGGATAAATTGCTGGACACATACTTCCTCCCAAGCCTAAACCAGGAAGAAGTCGAATCCCTGAATAGACCAACAACAAGTTCTGAAATTGAGGCAGGAATGAATAGCCTACCAACCAAAAAAAAGTCCAGGACCAAACGGATTCGCAGCCGAATTCTACCAGTGGTGCAAAGAGGAGCTGGTACCATTCCTTCTGAAACTATTCCAAACAATAGAAAAAGAGGGACTCCACCCTAACTCATTTTATGAGACCAGCATCATCCTGATACCAAAACCTGGCAGAGAAACAACAAAAAAAGAAAATTTCAGGCCAATATCCCTGATGAACATCAATGCAAAAATCCTCAATAAAACACTGGCAAACCGAATCCAGCAACACATCAAAAAGCTTATCTACCACGATCAAGTTGGCTTCATCCCTGGGATGCAAGGTTGGTTCAATATATATACAAATCAATAAACATTATCCATGACATAAACAGAACCAATGACAAAAACCACAATTGTCTTAATAGATGCAGAAAAGGCCTTCAACAAAATTCAACAGCCCTTCATCTAAAAACTCAATAAGCTAGGTATTGACGGAACTTATCTCAAAATAATAAGAGCTATTTATGACAAACCCACAGCCCATATCATACTGAATGGGCAAAAACTGGAAGCATTCCCTTAGAAAATGGGCACAAGAGAAGGATGCCCTCTCTCACCACTCCTATTCAACATAGTATTGGAAGTTCTGGCCAGGGCAATCAGGCAAGACAAAGAAATAAAGGGTATTCAAATAGGAAGAGAGGAAGTCAAATGCCTCTGTTTGCAGATGATATGACTGTATATTTAGAAAACCCCATCGTCTCAGTTCAAAATCTTCTTAAGCTGATAAGCAACTTCAGCAAAGTCTCAGGATACAAAATCAATGTGCGAAAATCACAAGCATTCCTATACATCAATAATAGACAAACAGAGAGGCAAATCATAAGTGAACTCCCATTCACAATTGCTACAAAGAGAATAAAATACCTAGGAATACAACTTACAAGGGATGTGAAGGACCTCTTCAAGGAGAACTACAAACCACTGCTCAAGGAAATAAGAGAGAACACAAACAAATGGAAAAACATTCCATGCTCATGGATAGGAAGAATCAATATAGTGAAAACGTCCATACTACCCAAAGCAATTTATAGATACAATGCTATCCCCATCAAGGTATCATTGACTTTCTTCACAGAATTAGAAAAAACAGTGCTTTAAATTTCATATGGAACCAAAAAAGAGCCCATATATCCAAGATAATCCTAAGCAAAAAGATCAAAACTGGGGACATCATGCTACCTGACTTCAAACTATACTACAAGGCTATAGTAACCAAAACAGCATGATATTGTTACAAAAACAGATATACAGAGCAATGGAACAGAACAGAGTCCTCAGAAATCATACCACACATCTACAACCATCTGATCTCTGACAAGCCTGACAAAAACAAGCAATGGGGAAAGGATTCCCTATTTAATAAATACTGCTGGGAAAACTGGCTAGCCATATGCAGAAAACTGAAACTGCACCCCCTTCCTTACACCTTATACAAAAATTAACTGAAGATGGATTAAAAACTTAAATGTAAGACCTAAAACCATAAAAACCCTAGAAGAAAACCTAGGCAATACCATTCAGGACACAGGCATGGGCAAAGACTTCATGACTAAAACACCAAAAGCAACAGCAACAAAAGCCAAAATTGACAAATGGGATCTAATTAAACTAAAGAGCTTCTGCACAGCAAAATAAACTATCATGAGAGTGAACAGGCAACCTACAGAATGGGAGAAAATTTTTGCAATCTCTCCATCTGACAAACAGCTAATATCCAGAAACTACAAAGAACATAAACAAATTTTCAAGAAAAAAAAAAACAAATAATCTCATCAAAAAGTAGGTGAAGGATATGAACAGACACTTCCCTAAATAAGACATGTATGCAGCCAACAAACATGAAAAAAAGCTATAATCACTGGTCACTAGAGAAATGCAAATCAAAACCACAGTGAGATATTATCTCATGCCAGTTAGAATGGTGATCATTAAAAAGTCAGGGAACAACAGATGCTGGAGAGGATACGGAGAAATAGGAATGCTTTTATACTGTTGGTGGGAGTGAAATGAGTTCAACCATTGTGGAAGACAGTATGGTGATTCCTCAAGGATCTAGAACCAGAAATACCATTTGACCCAACAATCCCATTACTGGGTACATACCCAAAGGAGTATAAATCATTCTACTATAAAGACACATGCACACGTGTGTTTACTGCGACACTGTTCACAATAGCAAAGACTTGGAACCAACCCAAATGCCCATCAATGATAGACTGGATAAAGAAAATGTGGCACATATACACCATGTAATACTATGCAGCCATAAAAAGGATGAGTTCATGTCCTTTGCAGGGACATGGATGAAGCAGGAAACCATCATTCTCAGCAAACTAACACAAGAACAGAAAACCAAACACCATATACTCTCACTCATAAGTGGGAACTGAACAATGAGAACACATGGACACAGGGAGGGGAACATCACACACTGGGCCTGTCAGGGAGTAGGGAACTAGGGGAGGGATAGCATTAGGAGAAATACCTAATGTAGATGACGGGTTGATGGGTGCAGCAAACCACCGTGGCACGTGTATACCTATGTAACAAACCTGCATGTTCTCCACATGTATTTCGGAACTTAAAGTATAATAAAAGAATTGGCTGGGTGCGGTGGCTCATGCCTGTAATCCCAGCACTTTGGGAGGCCAAGGCGGGCAGATCACGAGGTCAGGAGTTTGAGACCAGCCTTACCAACATGGTGAAACCCCATCTCTACTAAAAATACAAAAATTAGCTGGGCGTGGTGGCAGGCAACTGTAACCCCAGCTACTCAGGAGGCTAAGGCAGGAGAATCGCTTGAATCCGAGAGGTGGAGGCTGCAGTGAGCCGAGATTGTGCCACTGCACTCCAGCCTGAGTGACAGAGCAAGACTCCATCTCAAAAAAAAAAAAAAAAAAAAAAAAAGTCACATATTGTGATCATAACAGAGGTAGGTGTTTGAGCTGGTACTCTTATTCTGAGAAGCATCCATTGGCTTTGATACAAATTTTATTGTTAAAAATGATTTGAAAATTGAAAATTGTCTTGCTTGATTTCCCTACTATCTTTGAAGTATTTTCAGTTCAATACTTTGAAATATTTCAGGGTTCAATAAATCAATGAGACATATGGATTATCTAGGGAGAATCTATTTGTTTCTCTAGGCCATTGAACTGTTGGAAGCACATTAATTATTCATGATTTCTTCTGATTAACAAATTTGTACTATCTGAAATACATGTTCAGTACTATTCAATACTTTATTAAAAGTTATATTATTTACTCCTAAAAACCAGAGTTGGGTACATAATTATTTCTTTTGTTAGCATTTTAGAGATATAAAAGGGGCTTATTTCTAATAACAACGAAGATTAACCATTACACAAGGCATTCTAGAAATGAGTGGTCATAATATCACATTTTAAATAATTGAAAAACGTATACAAATATATGTTGCCCAAAATAAAGCATGACGTCAACCATCTGTTATAATATAACACTGCATTTTCTTACATTCTCTAGGTAAACATTATAGGGACTATTATGTAAAAAAATTCCAAATTATTCTAATAGCTCTATTCTTAAAACCATTAAGAAGATTATCTCTGTTTTTAATATTCAATATAATAAATACAATTTGAGTGCAAAAGTTTAAAAAGTTTTATACTATATTTTATATAATAATAACTTATGCTACTTTACTCTCCTAGTATTGCAAGCTAAAATCTTTTAATACCAAAGTTACTGAAGAAGAGAAAAATTTTTAAATTAACACTTTAATATATTCTGTCTTCCATCTCTTAGACAACCTGTTGTCAAATTCTGGCATCTCTTCCTACTTCTTCAGATTTGACTTTTCTTTGGATTCATATTGCATACCTTACACCTGCAATAAATTATATATACCTTTAATATGCTTATTCCTTGTACATAACAGCTATAGCTACTGTTGGGCTCAGAACATGATACCCTGAAATATGGCACTTTGGCAATTGAGAAGACTGCAGAAGCAGGAAGGTTGCTTTTACTTTCTCCTCCCTTTTTCTTCTAAAGAACATTCATAAAGAGTTATCGACCTATCTCACCTGAATGTAGGTCATAAGAACCTCACACCACACAGGTCCTACCCTATACCCAGAAACTAAGAAAAATCTGAACAAAGAGGTCCTGGTAAGTTCCTTCCAGTTTATTACAAATAGTTCATATCCACTTTTTGTCCAATTATACATCTACACAACTGTTCATTCTTCATTAAACTTAAGTATAAAAATACAATTTTTTCTGGTTCTTTGGGTCTTCATTTCTGAAGGCTCTTGTGTCATGCAAAACTTTGGTTAAATACATTATGCATTTTTCTTGTTATCTTGTCTTATGTTGTAGGAGTGTCAGTTGTGAACCTTGTGATGGGTGAGGAAAAGATACTTCTTTTTCTTTCCTAGAATACTCAATACATGTTATATGAATGAATTGCTCATCTGACTTTCTTCCTGGCCTCTCTACTCAGCCACTGAATCTCTGGGGACCTAGTGTAAGAAGACAGATTTTCCATGTATTTCTAGTTCTTTTTTTTTTTTTTTTTTTTTTTTTTGAGATGGAGTCTTGCTCTGTCACCCAGGCTGGAGTGCAGTGGTGCGATCTTGGTTCACTACAACCTCCACCTCCCAGGTTCAAGCGATTCTCCTGCCTCAGCCTCCTGAGTAGCCGGGACTATAGGCGCATGCCCCCACACCTAGCTAATTTTTGTATTTTTAGTAGAGATGGGGTTTCATCATGTTGGCCAGGATGGTCTCAATCTCTTTACCTCGTGATCCGCCCGCCTCAGCCTCTCAAAGTGCTGGGATTACAGGCATGAGCCACTGCACCCAGCCATATTTCAGGCTTTAAATGAAATGGAATATATATTTTTTAAAGGTAAGTTTAACCAGAATACATTTATTCATGGGAATTTTTTTATTTACACCCATTTGAAGACTAAGCTACATTTGAAATTGATATCATATTGCATAAACATATGAATACATGTATTTGTCTAACATAAAGTCTTCAATAAATATTTAGTGAATGAATAAAAGTATGTTATACTCAACATAAATGAGTTTAGGTCATTTCCTGATGACTTTGAGGGGTCACAGATGTGCTGGTGCTTTCCTTGACACAACTTTCTCTTACCCCTTTAGTTTAAATATATATATTTAATTATTTTAAAAATAGAGTTTCATATTTTGAGTTTTATTTAATAAAACAGATCATCAAACTCATAAATGAAGCTTGTAAAACATTTTGGAATGACTTCATCCACAAATTTTGAGGAATGAAACAAAAAAGAAATGGATATTAAAACTCTTAAGAGGCCAATCAACCATTTGTGTTTTGATATTATTAGCACCCCAATTCAAACACACAAAAGGTTAAAAAATAAATTATAAAACAACTGGGGACATTTGGACATCAAGTGGGTCTTGGATAATATTAAGCAATTATTGTTTGATATTCCATTAGGTACTGTAATGGTATTTTGGTTATTTTTTAAAGTTGTTATTTTTACATGCAATATATTAACAGATGAGATGATATTTCTTAGACTTTCTTCAAAATAATCCTGTGTGTATATGGGGAGTGAATGCTTGGTATAGAAGGAAATATGGTTATTTGTTGATAGGTTTTGAAGTTGGGTGATAGGAACATGGATGTTCATAACACCATTTTCTTTACTTCTGTATATATTTGAATTTTTCAAAAATAAAAAGGTTTTTTTAATCATGCTAATAAAACTATCAGAGGAACTTTGAAAACATTGGATTCTTGAGATAAAGTGGCTTTCCAGAAAAAAAGTGGCATGAAATAAAATGCTCTCATACTTTGTTTAACTGATGTACTTTATTTAAATATCTTTACTATATATTATTGGTTTCCTAGTTAGCTATGCCAATATATTAGATGGTGGAATCATGACCTATAGCTAGCTGAGAATTTTAAATTTTACTGACTTTATTGACTCCATACTCTTCATGGACACTAATTTAGTCAGACAAGTTACAGAACTCCAATAACGTAATAAACATGTTAAGTGCCTAGTGTATTAAATCTCTTCTGAAAATCTACCTTTTTGATGATTTTGAGCATGGATTTCTAATAACTGAATGCCATAGTGTCAAATGTTGATTTGGTCAAAGATACTGTTTTTGACTGGATCAAGCAAAAACACTTCCCAAAATGCAGCAGCAGCACAATCTGTTATATTGCAATGAGAAAAAAAAATTGGCAAGGACTATAAAAGTTACTTAAGAAAGAACTTCACAAGGAGATGAAGCACAAATGGAAATGCCTCAGAAAGTAGAATGTAGGGCAAATTTCTAAGGAGATCACAAAGAAATAGCAAAAGCTTGTAGGAGTTGGGTCAAAAAAGCTCAGCAGGAAACAGGATGCCACATCTAAGAAACATGAAAGGAAACAGAAAAAAGAATTCTTTTACTATTTCAGGAACAAAAGAAAGCTAAATGACACACTTTGCTCCTTCAGTGAAGAGAAAAGGAAATCTAATGGTCCATGATAGTAAAAATGCACATGCAATTGGTAATTTAAAAAAATCCTCCTTAAAAGAAAGATAAAGTAGAATTATCGAGCATTTATTGAGAGGTGCAAAATTTAAGGCGCAAGAAAATATTTAAAAAATTAATCTAACATAACTTAACCATTATGATGTGATTTATATGCAAAGATACCTAAAGGATTCACCATCCACATATAATGGAATATTATGCAGCCAATAAAAGTTATTATTAATAATATTAAAAAAGTTAATAATATGATATTAAGTAATAAATGCCAAATCATGTTGTTGTCTGGAAGAGAATCGTCAAATTGTCAACAGTAGTTTTTGCTGATAATATTACTGGTGATTTTTATTTTTGTCATCTATTTATTCATTTGTTGGATATTCTGCAATGGGAATTACTTTTATAATCAGGCATAACAATAAAAATATTATTCAAAGTACCTACTGTAGTCTCCAACAGTTCAATTCCAAGTAGTCCATTTAAAGGACTCTTGTTAAGTTGCCAATAATCACTGCTTTGATAAATCAAATGGATACTTGCTCTTATTTCCTGGCTCTGTGAAGCATCTGACTTTTTTCAATGTTCCATGCTAAAATTCTCTGCTCCCTTGGCTTGGTAGTTCTAATTTAACCATGCATCAGCTGTCACCTGGAAGACTGCAATGGCTGGCTGTCTTTACTACAAGCCATTCTGTCAATTACCACCAGGGCAATCCTGACCACATTACTCCATTGCTTTTGCCTCTTCAAAGACTTATCTTACAGAACATAGAGGGTGAGTTGCTCTGGATGCTTTCTGTTTTTTTTTGTTTGTTTTTGTTTTTTTTCTTTTTTTTAAATTTTATTATTATTATACTTTAAGTTTTAGGGTACATGTGCACAATGTGCAGGATAGTTACATATGTATACATGTGCCATGCTGGTGTGCTGCACCCATTAACTCGTCATTTAGCATTAGGTATATCTCCTAAAGCTATCCCTCTCCCCTCCCCCAAGCTTTCTGTTTATTAGTGACCCAATGAAAAGAAAAGGACAACTTTGGGTCCAGGGATTGTAAATTGTGTCCTCAAATCTCTATTTCTTGCTTCTGTTCTCTCTTAGGTAGTTGTATCTCATAAGCAAAAGAGCTTCCTCTCAGTGACAGGGATGAGAGGGCAGGGCCACAGATAATTCCAGGCTTATATCATCCTACCTAGCAACCCCAAAGCCAAGGGAGATATCCTCTCTCCCATTCTCTGTGTATGAAATCCAAAGGAAAGTCTCTGGTTGACTAACAGTACCACACCTAATTGCTAAGGCCAAGAATGTGGGCCTGGGTCATAGGTCCAATCTGAACGGAGAGATATTGTACTATGATTGGTAGCCTGATCAGAACTACAGCACTTGGAAGGTCCAAGGGTAAGTGCTTCAAAGAAAATCAGGGATAATTAATAACAGAAAAGAGTAAGGAATATTGGAAAGATGAAAAACCAAATATCCTTTATAAAAAGTAATATTCAATCTCCTTAGCCCAACACTCTTAGAATTTCTTGGATTGGCCTCTGCTCATGTTTCTTGCCTCATCTTTCGCCATTCCCTCCCAAGAACTCCAGTTTCTAACTATGCCAAACACTTGGATCTTTTCTGAATAGGCAGTGCTAGGCAGAATAGTGGCCCCCAAAGATGTTCATGCCTTAATCCTAGGAACGTATAAACATGTTAACTTGCAAGACAAAAGATACACTGCAGATGTGATTAAGATTAAGGACTTTGAAATGGAAAGATCATCCTGGTTTACCTAGGTGGGCCCAATCTAATCACATGAGTCCTCAAAAGCAGAGAATCTCTTCCAGATTCAGATAACCAGAAATATGGCAATGTGAAAAGAACTCCATCCACCATTGCTGGCTTTAAAAATGGAGGAAGAGGCTACAAATCAAGAAATGTGGGTGGCCTTTAGAAGCTGGAAAATGCAAGGAAATGGATTTTTTTTGAAAGCCTACAGAAAGTAATGCAATCCTGTTGGTATTTTGATTTTAGCTCAATCAGACTTTTGTCTCACTTTGGATCTATTACAGAACTGAAAGATAATAAATTTTTATCGTTTAAGCTTCCAAGTCTATGGTAATTTGTCACAGCAATAAGAAGAATTATACAGGCCATTCTATGTCATGCTTTCTTGATTTTGTACTTTCTGGTCATTTCATGTAAAATATCTATCTTCCACATCTATCTTCCACACTGATGCACCCCGCTCAATCCCAGCCCACTTGGTGAACTCCCTACCCTTATTCAAACTATAACTCAGGTTTCACTCCTTCTCTAAAGCCTTCCTTAGCATCACTCCTAGGAATATGTGACTCCTAGGAATACTTTTTTCTTATGGCCACACAGCACTCTGCATTCTTCCGCTATAGTATTTAAAGTGCTGTATGAAATTTGTCTCAGACTGTAAATTTATATTAGGCCAGGGACTATATCCTATTCCTCAATGTATATCACAGGTAAAGCATGTTGAGCACATAGTACATTTTAATAACTGCTTGTGTATGCATGAAAAATCATTGCACTGGTTACTCACTTTGAGATTTATATAGGAATGAGAAAGAGTTGAAAACTGAAAAAGGTCCAGCATATTTTAAAAAGAGAACATGAATATAGCACTAGGGATTTAACTTCTACTGCCACAAAAATGTTGGAAATCAACGAGTAGTAGGTCAATTGTCAAATAACTTGAGGATAGCAGGTACATTTTTATTATGAGCAAATCTTGTCTAAATTAGTTGTCTAAACTCTTCCTTCTACATCAGTAACTGAACTGATAAATTTGGGAGTAAGAAATTGGTTGTAATCAATCTTTCTTGATGTGACAAGGCTTTAGATTGAATTCTAAAGATCAATGAACTTGGAAAATGTGGTCTCTTCTCTAATGGCATTAATTAATAACATCTAATATTATCACCTAGAATCTGGCCAATACATTTACATAGAATCAGCCTGCAAGAGGGTCCTCAAATGATTCTTGGCTTCTCATATTCACTCCCTTATGTAGTCCCTCCCAATACTGAATAGGTCTAACCTGTGTGACCAATGGGATTTTGAAAAAGTAACAATGTATGATTTCTGAAGATAGATCTTAAATGAATTGCTGGTTCCACCTTACTTTTTTGAATTGCTCCTACTTCTAGGGGATGATAGATACCATGTTGTGAGGACACTCGAGCGGTCCTGTGGAGGGGCCCATTAGAGAAAAACTAAGGTCTTCCAGCAAAAGCTAGTACTAAATTGCCAGCTGTTTAAGTGAGCCACTTTCAAAGCAGATTCCCCAGCCCCAGACAAACTTTCAGATGACTGCATCCCTGGCCAATTTTTTGACTACAACCTCATAAGAGACCTTGAACAATAATTACTTAGCTGATCCACTCTCAAATTCCTGACCTGCAGAAACTGTGAGAAATAAATAAAAGTCTATTACTGTCTTAAGTCATGCAGTTTTAGATAACTAGTTTTAGATAACATGCAGCAATAGATAACTAGTATTCTGCCTATAGAATAAAATAGACAAAAGTCACTATAAACTATTTCCTGTGTTGTTAGCCGTGGTTTTTTAAAAACAATTATTATCCTTTCACTTTCAGCCCTAGTCTTCCAAACCAATAAACAAGAGTCTTAGAAGGAAGATAACTTCAAGGCACATCTGCTCCTTTTAGATTTTATACTAAAAACAAAATAAAGAGCCAGTCTTATTACTCTACTGCCAATTCTCGGTAATAAGTGACATTTCCTCCTCCCTTGTGTCTGTATTTTTTTCTACTATTGAGGCACCTGAAATTGGATGATGAGATTTCCAATGTGCCCTTAGAAAATGAGAAAGACATGACACACTGTAACTCTCCTCCTTATAAGGCTCAGGAAAGAAATATACCTTTTTGGGCCTCTCTATTTTCCTGACAGAAAAAGAGAGAGAGATAGAAGGTAGAAAAGCTATCTGCCATCCTTCAGCTATGATATTCCTGAGGCTCATCATATTTTTCTTATTTTAGAGAGTCTGTAGAGGGACACGTACTCAGTGTGTTATATTTGCTCCTTTATGTGTGACCATCACAGAGCAAATGTCTTGATGTCATCTCATCAAAAGCATCAGAGATGCTTGGAGCAGGGAGAAGAAAGGGGGTAGGAAGAAGAGAGTGATGAAAAAGGGCAAAGGAAGAACAGGAGAGGGCCAATTGTGTAGAAACAGCAAACAGCCTGACTTGTTCAGGCACAGGCCAGAACTGCTCCTAGGCTGTTGAGTTAACACAGATACACTCTGGTTAATGCTCTTAAGAAGATGAATTAAGTGAAACATTTCAGTTCTAACAAAAGTGGTTCCTGCAAAAAGGAGAGATGGGGCACAACTAGAAGAAAAATACTTGCATTCTAGTTTAGTTCAGTCTCTTCAGAGAAGGTAACATATTACAGTGGAACTACATCATAAGGTAAATTTCAAATCAGATAAAATATTTATGATTTTGAGAAAACATTTCACATGAATCTATAAATACCTAGCCTAAGGTTTACTGCTACCATCGTTTACAGGTTAATTAGCGCATTTTGCAGCCTTGCCATAAATCTGCTTCCATTTAGATAGAATGGCTAGATGGTTGTCTTTAGCATCCTGAAATTTAATAGTAGAACTATGTAGCAGATTCTAGTCTTTCTAAGCAGGAATGACAAAATAGTTTCAAATTATTATTTTTTTGTCATCATATGACTGGTAACATGTCATTGGCACTTAAATTTTATGAGTGTCTATTTATTAGGCTACAGAAATAATTTTGTTCTCCATTGCTCTATGTATAGGTGGGGAAGCTAGTGACCTCTTCAGGGGTGGTTTCAGAAGTTAAGGGGGTGTAGCCAAAACCTGGTGTTATCTCCTTAGCTTGTCTAAATTCAGGAAAGTCACTGGAGAATAAAAAAGAACCAATTTTACTATAAGACAATGAAGATTCTAGGCAGTTCTTAGAAATAGGTAAGAAATCTAAGCTCCACAAGGGCAGAAGTCTTTGCTCTTTTTCTTTCCTATGCACTCAACAAGAATTTCTTGACTGTATGAAGGAGCCAGGGAATGCTCAGAAGAATCTGTGACTCATCAAAAGGTAAGAGGCACTGCTGAATAAGGAAATAGAGTGGAGACTGCCTCTCTATGGAGTGCCATTTGAGAAGACATCTGAAAGAAAGTGGAGACACAGGCTACCTGGAGGAAGCATGTAGCAGGCAGTGGGAACAGCAGGTTAATGGCCCTGGTGTGGCAGTGAGCTTGACATGTTCAAAGGGCAATAAGGAGGGCTTTGACATGCAACAGAGTAAGGGAAGAGAGAGTGGCAGGAAATAAGCAAGAGAGGCAGGTGAGGGCCTGATCACGCATGGTGTAGGAGGTCATCATAAGAATGTAGGATTTTATTCTGAATCATAGTAAGGTGTCATTGATTAAAGAATGTGGTCAGGCCAGCAGAATAAGTATTAATAGTCCATGACAGTGACAGACTGTCTTTGAAAAACATTATTTCCTGAGTGGAAAAAAAAAACCCTAGAAACTGAAGATACAGTCAAGTATCCTATGAGTACTGAATAAATACTCTTAACTCACTGGTAGGTGGATGTGTTTGAAAATGATTACTAAGGAACATACTGTGTTATTATTCAAGCTATCATGATGGGTATAGATTTAGTTTTTTAAAGAAAGCTTCTTATTTCTGGAACAGTTGAATAAATTTATTATAATTTCCAGAGACCCAGTCCTTAAGCATGGAGTTATTTTAGTGTAATGCCAACACGCTCCTGTCTTGGTTTAGGTGAGCTTTCAGGTGTGCAGGCAATTTGCATGATAAATTTTGCATGTATACATCTCCTCTCTCCTTTGCTGCAAAGGAAGCCAAGTAGTAAACAGTCTTTCTTAGTAAATGTTTTGCTGAAAGAAAACACACATTTACAAGTCAAATCATGTGAAATCTTTGATAAGGAAAGGATGATAGCAAGGTTTATTTTACAGTTTATGCTGAAAATTTTACTGGGAAGAAATAACTAGGCTGGTTATTTCCAGTTACACAATAAGCAGTTACTTTTTAAGAGCTACTGTGTAAAATAAACACTGCTAAGTGGTTGTAATATTTGACTTCATTCATTCATTCATTCATTCATTTATATTAACTAACATCTATTATATATGTACCATGTACCAGGGCACTATGCTAGGAGCCAAAAATAAAAGAAAAATTTTAATTACAGCTACAAATAATCCACAGTCTAGAAGAACTCAACAGAGTACATTGGCTTCTTCTAATTCCAAATAAAAATAGGGTCAGCATATGTCTTCACACTATGACAATTGGCAATAGACTGTTAAGCTTCGGCTTTCTCTTTCTATTTCCTCTTCTGCCTTTCTGCTGTGACTTTGTAATCAATAGGACTATTAGCTTAACTGGATACATCAGCTAATAATCCAACAGGACAAATGCATAATTCTTAGAATCAGTTTAGATGGTTGCCCGCAGCCCCCTTCTACTCATCCTCTGAAAATGCTGTAGAGTTCACTCCAGTGACCTACCATCCATAAACCCTCTGTGGCTGTTCAGATGTTTACACACATTGGCTACTTCACAGAAAGTCCTATCTCTCTGTTAAAAGAGAAAGTATATGTGGCTGAAATGATGGTTAGTTCTCATTTCAGTACTTGGACGTCAAGCAGTTAGTTTACTGTTGCTTTTGTAACTTGGAGGCATTCCATTCTATACTGAACACTTCTTTGGATAAAGTTCTCATCTTTCTAACACATTGTTAGATTAAAATAGTAATGGAAAAGTAATAATCTCTCCAGCCTACAGACAGCTCTTATGCCACTACATGTCTATAGTATTGATATAACATTTTTATAACATTTCTGTTTCAGTTATCTATTGCTGTATAACAATCAACCTAAAACAACAAACACTTTATTTCCTTGTGATATTACAATTTGGGCTAGGCTCAGCCAAGTGCTTCTTCTGTTAGTCTTGTCTGAGGTTACTGGTGTGGTTGTATACCACCAGTCATGCCACTTGGGGACACTAGGACATCTGTATTTGTCTTTATTCCTGTAGTCTCAGGCTTCTCCCTCTCCAAGTGTCCTACATCCTCTCCACACTCTCTTTCTGCAAGTTGGATGAGCCTCAGACTTCTCAAGAGTTCCAAGACTTGTTAAAGCTTAGCCCCAGAATTAAAATACATTACTTCTACCACTTTCTATTGGTGAAAGCAAGTGAAAGAGCCAGCCTAGATTCAAGGTGAGGAAACCACACAGGAATGTGAATACTTACAGGCATGGTTCAGTGGAGGTCTCTAATGTAACAACTACACCTACCTTGACTCAAATAATCTGTAAACCTGCATTAGATCTTTAGATTGATAAAGAGTTTCAGGAGGGTAGGGTGAGCTCCTTACCAAGGGGCCATGATCAGAGTCCTACCTCTTTTGCGTTGCATGGTTCCAACAACACTTCATTTCTAGAAGTCATCTTACCTTTACTCATCCTGGGCCCTTTGTCTGGGACAGCTTTTCTACTTTCTGACATCTATTGAAGTCTTTCTTCTCAAAACTTCAAGCTCAGGCTTTATCTCCTGCCAGAAGCCTTTCCTGATGCTTTCAGGTTCTGTTAAGACCTGCTTCTTTCTTTTTTTTTTTTTTTGAGACGGAGTCTCACTCTGTTGCCCAGGCTGGAGTGCAGTGGTGTGATCTTGGCTCACTGCAAGCTCCGCCCTCCGGGTGCACGCCATTCTCCTGTCTCAGCCTCCCAAGTAGCTGGGACTACAGGTGCCCGCCACCAAGCCCGACAAATTTTTTTGTACTTTTAGTAGAGATGGGGTTTCACTGTGTTAGCCAGGATGGTCTTGATCTCCTGACCTCGTGATCCACCCGCCTCAGCCTCCCAAAGTGCTGGGATTACAGGCGTGAGCCACTGCACCCGGCCAAGACCTGCTTCTGAGATTCTAAAATATATCCTGTGTTTATCTCTTTCACGGAACTTATTATATTGTAGTAAAATGTCTGGGCATTTGTTTATGAGTTTGTTTCACCAGCTAGACTGTTTACAATCTGAAGTCAGGCCTGAGTCTTATTAATGTGATTTTGTCATTCTGTAAGTGCCCAGTAATAACATGTTAAAAGGGAACTGGAACAGGAGAAGTGTATGTTGTATAATCTGATGTCACCCCAAATCCAGCATAATTCAATGCATATATTAGTGGCTTAATAAATATTGGACGGTTGGTTGAATACATAAATCTATTTCTGTTAGTCACTACATAAGAGATATAAACTCTTATTTTGGTAACCTGGTAAATTTTCAGCAAGCTTCATAAACATTTCAATTCCTAGCTAGGAAAGAAGCAATATGCCTTGGGCACAACTTTTCAAGTAATATCAATGTTTAGCAGCATCAACCTTTCAGGCAGGTGTAAATAGCTAAAAATAAAAATTCATATCCTTCTGAAATGCTGGCTAAATTTCTGAAGGAATGTATTCATGCTCTGAAACACAAAACCGTTCTCTTGCTTCTATAAAACAGAACAAAACCTGTGGGAAACCAAATTACTTTGCTAAGTGTGACAAATCCAAACTGCTACAGAGCAAGAGATAACATAAATTAATGGGTCTTGGAGGCAAACACCAGGAGTTATTTTGAGGTGAGTGAAATCCGATCTCCATCCTAAAACCACACTGTGTTTCCATGGATCAAGTTTTTAGTTTTATGCTTTTTAGAAAACTATTTATGCACAATAATTACAGCCACCTGAATGCCCTAAATAAACGTAGCCCAGTAAATGCAGGCGTGTGCTTGAATGGTGCCCTATTGCTTTCAAGTACTTTGTAGTGGGCTGCATGTCTGTTTTGACGATTCCCCCCTAAAACCTAAAGGCAGAGATGCTGGAAGGGTTTGCATTACCAGGTGACACAGTGCTTGACTTTGATAAGCCGTTGCTAAGGCAAAGAAACTCCTAAAGCCTTATTGAGGGTAGCCCGTGGAAGTCTGTCACACTGTCTTATATTATTTTTCTTTGGATACAAGCCATTTTTCTAATTTAACCCTTGATTTTCTTGAGGGCAGTAAAGTTGTCTTAGGTTCTTTTCACACAGAGAGTGTTTAGAAATGTTTGTGGTTGAAATGAGTACCCTTCTGGATTATGTTTACCCCAAAGGAGATGCATTATTTTATTTTAATCAGTGTTAAAGATAATGTATAGGAGGCCATTGGATACCACTGAGCTCTTGTACCAGGCCCCCCCCAAAAAGAAAAACAAACCAAAATGGAGTCACTCATGCTAAAGTTCCACATCACCAAGCAAAATCTAAGTTGTTTTTCTGACCTTCCAAGAAACCAAGAGAGTGCGAGATGATGGCCAAATCTCTAAACAAGCCAGTTTTAGCTGGCAGGATTAGAAATTCCCCTTTACTTTATCCTTTACAAGGAAAGTAACATTTAAACAATCAGTCTGCTTTTTGTTTTCTATTTTTGCTTTCCTCAGCCCTTTTCTGTGTATAAACCAATGTCCTCTTGCTCACCTCATCATAATGGTCATTTTATTTTAGAGAATGAGGTACTGCCTGTCCAGAACTGCAAATAAAAGCTTATTAAGATCTTTATACTAAATTTTTTTGTTGTTGTTGAAACTTAATCTTTTGACAATTCTGGCAACCAACAAAGGGACCCAAATGACACTGCTGATGAATCCCAAGACCTCTTGGGGAACGCAGGAGAGATGTTACTGAGCCCTTTTCAGGTCCCCTGTCTTCCTCACGGAGCCCCAGTCTGTTCCTTTCAGGTTGGACTCCGGTCTTTTTGCACTGAATCTCTGGAGCTTATCAGCTTTCATTTGGGGGTTACTTTGTGCTGTAAGAGAGCATTTGACCTTGAGGTGCCAAGGGTTAGTCTGTGCTCTGAGAAGGTGCTTGACCTTTGGGTTTGTGCTGGCTGATGAGTTACTGGCAGGAGCTGCAGTTTTAAAGGTGACTGACAACAGTTGCAGTAAGTGGTTATTACTGCAGGGAGTCAGAACTCCAGCTTCCAAAATTCGTAGAGATTTGGTTTCTATCTTCTTAATTGCTTTGTCTTGAGCACTTAGTTGAGGCATGCCTCAGGTGTCTGACAGGGTCAGGCAGAAACTGGAAAATTATTGGCTAAGTTGGTCAAAGGCATCTCAGTGCCAAAGCCACAATTTGATCAGTGGGCATGATTTGGGCACTTGAGAGCTATTAGAGCAACCCACCACCAAAAGATAAGACTACCATGAAAGGATAAGCTGCATGTAAAATAGGGTAGCACCTATCAGCCTCTAGAAAATGTCCGTTCAACAAGGTACGCTGTGAAAGCATTATATAACCCAATGTGGCACTTCCCTCTTAGGCTTTGATTTAGACTCTGAGAGACTCAACATTCAATATAAAGATAGTTCCTAATTTATAAAAAAACTGAGCACTCCACCTTTCAGCCACACTTGCCTTTTACACTTTATTAGGCCCCGGAAGCTTCAAATACTTACAAAAATGGCCAAATCTTACTAAAGATACTTTAGAATGACAATGGCCATTATATAGCATGTTTCAGATGAACAACACTGCATTTAAGATGTGCATATATCAATGAGGGTTCTCAAATTAGGCCAAACCCAGATGTGCAGAAGTTTCTAAAAAGATTTCAAAAAAAAAATTTAATGGGCTCTTTTCAAAGATTGTTTTACAGAAATCAAGTGAAAAGTTTAATGATTAATTGATAAGAAAAATTAAATCTACTATCCTTTTCATTTAGTTACTCTTCCACCCCGAAGGTAAAAAGAAAGCTAAAGTGTTTCTAAAGGTTAGGATCTCAGGTCAAGCAGGTTTGCTTCTTTTTTAGAGCTATCCATACCGAGTCCAGGCACAGAGAATGTTTTCTTTGCCCCATTCTCTAATGGGCTCCACTCTGGAGTCAGTAATGTAGTTAAGAAACAAGCTAAATGGAAAATATAGCCTATTGAACTAGATCAGTCTCTGAAGTACACCCTTCTGGCATTTAGCTGGCTATTTGGAAACTTTTTGTAAAAAATTTACATCTATAAAGAAAAATCACTAGAAATTCTTAAAGTGAGAGAGAGTACTGGTCTAAACAAGCCTGACCTTTGATGAGTTTGTCTTAACTGGGCTTCCCACCTACATCTTTCTTTGTCTAGGGTGAATGGACTCTTAGAAGAATGATGGTTACGACAAGGTCTGTCTGGATTTGTAGATTTCCTCTCCTGTGACAAATGTTAATCTTCCCTGGTTGCTGGATCTGTCTTTAGGCAAATAAGGAAGAATATTCAGAAAACCCTGTCTTGCATTGTGCTATTCTTTAAGTGCCTTCAGTTCAAAGTAATCAATATACCAAAGTGACATATTTTGGGGTGCGATTTTCTGAACTACTTTAATGGCTATGTAGTTTAAGAAGCAATTCGAGCATGAATGTTAAGAATGAGTAAATTTACATAAATGTAAATGGTATAAAAGTTTATAGCTGAACTTGTCATAGTTTAAAAAGTCTTTTTCAGTAACTTTAACTCTTAAAGTCATGTTAAATTAATAGATATTTATGAAATATCAGTCATTCTTAACAAAACTAAAGTATTAAAATATTAATTGCTGAACATAAGCTTAAAATGTATACACTTTGATATCTTGTTTTTATATCATATAGAAGAGCTCAACATATTTAAGTCTGTTAGTAAACATGAAAAAATTGTTATATGAGGAAGCACATGTTTCTAGAAAGTATAAAATTTGTATTCCTAAAATGTTTTTGACAGACAGCTCAAAATTGCTTACTTCTTAAGATTCCACTGGAAGTTAAACTTACTAAGGGTTAAAAATTCCAATTAATATATGAAAGCTAAAACTAGAAATAATAAAGGAAGTAACTCCAAATATGAGAAAAATAAGTAATATTTTTGCTAAATAAAACTATGAGGTATGAAAGATGTGTTTTTGTTAAGGAAGAAAGAGAGTAATTTTTCTCCTAAGTAGAATGACTAGTTTTTCCAAAGTAGAAAAAGTATTGAAAACACAACTGAATGAATAAGAAATTTGTAGACAGTTTGTTGAAGATGAATCTTGTGAAAGGAACTCTATAAGGGTGATCAAGCTGGCTAAAATGAGAAAAAATGTTATCCATATGTTTTTCTAAGAATTGAGTATTAATATCAAAAGTATACTGATATAAAACTAGAATTTGATCTCCTGTGTTAAAACCACAAGGTTTTCTGGAATTATTGATCTGTTCTTAATAGGAAATAGTAAAAAGTTTTTCTTTATTTTTTTAGGTAACTTGCCTAGAAAGCAAAGAGTCTGTACTTTATCAAGATGATTCTGTGTGCTTTGTATTGTCTTTATTAGGTCTTTGATGACTGAGAAAACTGAATCCTCTCTATTAAAGAGCTAAGAGTTTTTCCTACAACTAGGTAACTTACTGTATTTGCCTTTAGAGTCTTTTAATTATTACTCTGGTTAAACTAATGACTATAACTTCACAGTGATCTGTGATCCTATTTTGATCAAATGTTTTAAACCATTTGACATTTTTTATAAACTTTCCAAAATAAACTAAATTAAGTCTTCTTGACCTTGAATTAACTTTGGGAAAACCTCAAAGGACGTGTCTCTCACCTTTTAAAAGAGAGATATTAAACTAGTTAGGCTTATTTCATATGTTAAATTATATGGGGAGTGTTCCAACAATTGTATGTAATCCCTAGAAATATATCAGTCCTAATTCTGGTTATTGTGCTAAAATGTTGTATGCTACGGGACATTGAATATATAAGTTTCTGATAATGTTAAGGTCATACCATTGGACTGGGTGAGAAGTTCCAGAACTCTGGTGAAGAAACTGGAGGCTTCATGAAACTGCCAACCAAGATCAAGCAGAGCGAGATTTACTTATGTAAGACTGAAAAACTGATGAAGAAGAGTTATGGTTTTTTATGGCTTTTTAATTTGAAACATTACTTGTTATTTTAATGTTTTATTTTACAGATTTAAGAAAAGCTTTTTTTTAAACCTATCTATAGCTTTCAGCAATGTGGTAAAGTATACTTTTGTGAACAAAAGTTAAAACATTTACTTTTTCCTCTCTATTTGATCTTTCCAGAATTCAGAAACTATTTGTGAGGATTCTTGTTTTTATGGCAATATGGTTATTTGCATAAATTCAATAAGAATTACTCTCTTTATAACATGATACAATTGGAAATACTGGTTGCATTACTAAAGCATTGACTGGGATGTCATACCTGAGAATGCACATAGAATGACTCTGTAGGTACTGTGGGTAAAGTCTGAAGTCTGCCTTGGTTTGGTTTCCTATCTTCCAGAGGTTTTCAAAAGTCCAATTTGAGATTCCTTATTAAAGGTTCCAGCAAAACAAAACTCGGAAAGAGCCCAAGTGGTCACTACTTTTTCTGCATTTATGTAAATAATCAGGCCAAGTTGGATGAGATTAAACTTATTTTGCCAACAAATTAGTCTCACTCCATTTTTTGTAACAATGAGGGTGACTCTAGAGAGAAAAATTGCTTTAGAAGAAAAACTGTAGTACCACTGTTACTAGATTGTAGCCTCTTTAACTATTTTTTGAGTTTTTACTATCTGCCTGTGGACTGGACTGGATCCTGAATTTGTCTAGTTTCCTCCAATATCTGGCTCTGAAAACAAGACCTGCTCTCTTTCTTAAGCCCTGTAAGATGAAGCTAGACAACTCAATATAAATTTCAAGAAACAAGTCTCATGCTTGATGTGTGGGCCATACAGAGAGTTCACCAAAATGCCCAATATTGTAACCAGAGACATTCAAACTATAAACAAGGATGAGAACTTGATGATTTCATGTTGTGGACAGTGACAGAGCAGGAGCATCACCATCTTGGATAAGCACTGTCATTTTAAAGTTCACCTTGATCAAAAACTGCCTAAATCCAAAGGACATCAGCCTAATGGCTAAGGTCAGCCTGATCACAAACCACAAATAACATCTCTGACCAAAAACATTCCAAACCCCTTCCCGGCAAGAGACATGCCAGCCCTCATATAACCTCCCCTCTGGCCAGAGAGATGTTAGCCCCAAGATAACCTCCCCTCTGACCAGAGACATTCCAACCCTGCCATAAACTTCTCCCCTACACAGAAACATTCCAAGCCTGTGATAAAGCTCTCTCACCCTAAAACTAATAAATACTCTTAGTCCCTAAGAGAGAATGCTCCTGACCAAAATTGGCCAGAAGCCCCTCTCAGGTTTAGTCTCCAAAATAAACCTTTGACTGTTGAGCTACTTTTCGTGTTTCTTTCCTCTTTCTTTAACTCTTATATTTGGTGCCAAATCTGTAAGAGAGAATGTTCCTGACCAAAATCAGCCAGAAGCCCCTCTCCAAAATATTTATTCTCCAAAATAAACCCTGTCTTTGACAGTTGAGCCACTTGTCATGTTTCTTTCCTCTTTCTTTAACTCTTACAGACAGCTTGTGCCCAGATGCCAAAACAAGACTCTGTATCATAATGAAACTCTTAGCCCTCTTAATTTTTTTCTTATTTATGCCTACCATTTTTTGCTCAGCAGGATAGACTTGTAGTAATTTTATAATCAGTAGCTTCTTCAAGTAACTTACAAAATTAAATCAGATTGGTCATGTCAAACCCAGATCTTTACAAAACCTAAGGGATCCTTTAGTCCACCCAGTGGGTAACTTTGGCAATATCCCTAATGCAATTGCTGTTCAAATTGTACTAGTGTTCCCTTTTATAGGGTAAAACTTCTAGACTCACATGTTTTTACTCCCTGCCTTGCTGACACTTCTTATTGCACATGTATAAATATAGAAAGTATTGTAGAGACTCCATTGCAAAAAGTTAGCAAATTGGCTACTTGGTTAAAATGGGTAGATTCCTTTTCTGGCTCATTCTTTGTTCTATTCAATTTTAGTTGGTTTGGTTCATTAAGACCCTGGCTAAGGTGCATACTCCAAACTCTTGGCATTCCTAATATCCTTGGCATTATCGCCAAAATTCAGAAACTATTTGTGAGGATAATAGCAGTCTCCCTGGTATACTGCATTCCCTCAAAAGTTTTAAATGTTTGCATGCAGCCATCTCTCAAACTTCAAATGGTCTCTATTCAGCTATTCAGTCGGTGTATAACACTAATCACGGTTTTTGCCATTAAAAGCAATGGCAAAAACCACAATTATTTTGCACCAACCTAATAGAATGGCAAAAACTCAAAGAAATGCATGATTATGAGGACACTATAAGCTATGAATGGCATGTTGACTTCAGAAACCCAGAATGGTGGTAACTTAGGGCTAATGCCCCTGGGGGAGCATGACCAAAAGGGGGAAATTGTTAAAGAAAATGTATAGGAAGCCATTGGCTAGCACTGAGCTCCTGAACTAGGCCCAACAGACCCAATTAAAATGGAGTCAGTCATGCTAAGGTGCCACATCACCAAGCCGAAAGTAAGTTGTTTATCTGACCTTCCAAGAAACCAGGAGAGTGAGAGATAATGGCCAAATCCCCAAACAAGCCAGTTTTAGCTGGCAGGATTAGGAAGTCCCCTCTGCTTTAACCTTTAGAAGGAAAGTAACTTTAAAACAACCAGTCTGCTTTTTGTCATCTATTTCTGCTTTCCTCAACTCTTTTCTGTCTATAAACCCATCTCCTCTTGCTTAGCTCATGGGAACACTGATTCTACTTTATAAAATGTAGTATTACCTCATCCTAGCATTGCAAACAAAAGTCAAATACAATTTTTAAACTGAATTTGTTATAATTTTGTCTTTTGACACCAGGAAGGACCCGCTCCAGTTCTGCCTACTACTTGATCATTCTCCTCTTTGGATTAAAGCTGTGTGAAACACAAGAATGATGTTGAACACATGACATCAAGTGGAGGGCAAGCCATGCTAATTTTTGTGGACTGGCCCATTGAAGTGGTATTGAGCTAGAATTATAGCCTGTGGCCAGAGGAGACCTGGAGCTCCTTTGCCTTGTTATTCTTCTTTTCCTGGGGGATTAGCAACCCAAGCAGACAGTTTCTTTCCTTCCAGGAAAACCCCAAACCTCTTGGTGAAGTGACAAGAAATATTCACCCCAGCGCACATCTTCCTAAGAAGGCCCAAGGCAGAATGCTAGCTCTCTCAGTAGTTCCCAGGCAATTCAATCTGCCACAAAGTACAATGTAGAGCACTGTGCTACAGGGAAAAACAAGCAAACAGAAAAGGAAAAAAGTCCATTCTGCATACTGATTTTGTCTAATGTGGCATTTGCACACTTGGGCGGCTACAGTACTTCCGTGCTGCTGCCAGATTAATTCTTCCCAAACACTGCTCAGATGGTATCACTCCTTTGGCCCCAAACCTTCACTAGGGTTATCGCCTAAAAAAGGTAGCCTGGGAGTTAAAAGTTTGCCATGGTTTGGCTCAAACTTATATTTCCATGTGTCAGTCCTATTATTTCAAATTCCAACCAACAATCTTCTATAATTTTTTTCGTACTTTTCCATGCCTTTACACGTGTAGAGATTTTTTTTTTTTCACTTGTAAGTCAAAAGCCTAGCTAGGCATCAAATTCCAACAGCTGACTTTCCCCCTATGCAAACATACTCTGACCTTGCCAGCTGACAGAAGTATTTCCCTCCCCTGAACTCTGCTAACACTGCTTTGTCACAGCATTGCATTTTCTTTCTTGTCTGGTCCATGTTTGTTCAATCTGCTGGACCTATACCAGTGCCTACTGTATTATGGGTACTCAATAAATGTTCATTGAATGAATATTAATTTTTACTTATTGTGGTCTTTGCATTGATGGTTTCTTTGTAAGCCAAATATAACATTTATACTAACTTATCATTTTTGAGGGTCAAAGACAATTTCCAGGTTTCAAGAAATGAGGGCTCTGGGGTCTCTTCAACACTTGCAGGCCTAGAGCTGGACTTGTATACCTTGAGACTTCCCTGCTATAGGCAGATGTCATTGAATAATATTAGTGTGCTCTATTTACAGAGTGCCTACGCTTGTGCTAAATCACTTCACATTCATATCCCTAGTTCTCCTAGTGACATACTGATGATGCCTATCTCATTTTTAGAGGAAACAAACAATGTTCAAAGATGAAGGTCCTTTCCCAGAGTTGAATGTAAAGTGAGTACCAGCGTCAGGATTCACACCTAGGTCAGTCTGGCTCCAAATCTAGCTTTTTTCCTACCATCCCACATTCCTTCTTTGAATTGCTTCACAGTTTCTATGGAAGTTTCTGCTATTTCTCTGTCTTTGTCTCTGAGGTTCATTTCCACTCCTGCAGCTTCACAAAAGCCCAATTACACCTGCCAGTGACCTGCTTTGTCTAACAGGATTTTTGATGGCTATAGCGTCATTTCAGCATCCGCACGGCCTGCTTCTCTCTACCCAGAGCACAGCTCCCAGGAGGTGCTGGAAGCCTGGCAGCGGGTCATTTCAGCAGCTTGTTTTTACCACTTTTCAGCACAAACTGCTTTATTTCAAACATTGCTCATCACTCACCTGCCTGCATTCCCCCTTCATCTTCCCTTAAGTCTGTCTCATAGGCCTGTAAGTAGAAATTGTGGCAACTCCCGAAGTCTAGCAGCACTGGGGAAGAGTAGAAACCTTACTGTCAGACTTGCTAATTGAAAATTTGGGGAGAAGTCCACTCAGACGTGTCTAAAGCAGATTACCTTTGAAGTACTTACAAAGAAAGGTTTTCTGAGCCTTGAGGTCCATAATGGGGATGTGTATATGGAGAGCGGGAAAGGAGCTCTTTATACTCAGAGAGCTGAACTATTTGCAAGTGCCAAGGCCTTCCCTTGAGTATGGTTAATGAATCAAATAGAAATATTATTTCACCAGTTCTAACATGCCCATTTATTTTTCATCTTAACATTCTGTAATGGGAATGTGGCTTACATAGACAGTGGTAGAACCATTATTTGCCAAATAGCAGTCATCATAGTTGTTTCTGCCTTCACCTGAGTATCAAATACACCAGCAATAACATTTGCAGAATAAGCAGGAGCAGGGGTAGGCTAGCTCTATGTAATTACAAAGCTCACCTAATTTAGTTTTTCATAGGATTTTAGGGAATGCTTCACATCAAAGCTGTTGGTGGCACAGAGGACAATACTGTGTGGAAAAACTTGGGCCTCAATGACCGAGCGAAAATTGAGTCTACTCAGAAGATTCAGATTTGGACCCAGAAGAAGTTTTAGAAAAATTTGAACCAATTTACATTACTTATTTTTTTATGTGTGCCCAAGAATGGCATAAGATTCAAAAAAAAAAATCTGTCTAAATAATATGTTAGCACTCTTTCACTATATATGATATAAAAATTCTAGCTTATGTAATAGTTAAATTGATGTTTTCCTCTGATGTAGTTTAAAAAAAGTTTAAGCGTACATGGGAAATAACTTATACTTTTACATCAGATTGGCTTGGGTTTAAATTTAGGTTTCATTTCTTATTAGCCTTGTGATATGGTTTGGCTGTGTCCCCACCCAAATCTCATTTGAATTGTAGCTCCCATAATCCCCATGTGTCATGGGAGGGACCCAGTAGGAGGTAATTGAATCATGGGGGCAGTTTTTCCCGTGCTGTTCTCATGGTAGTTAATAAATCTCACGAGATCTGATGGTTTTATAAGGGGCAGTTCCCCTGCACATGCTTTCTTGCCTGCCATCACGTAAGACATGCCTTTGCTTCTCCTTTGCCTTCTGCCATGATTGTGAGGCCTCCTGTGGCGTGTGGAACTGTGAGTCCATGAAACCTCTTTTGCTTTATAAATTACCCAGTCTCATAGCAGTATGAAAATGGGCTAATAAGAGTAAACTGGTACCAGTAGAGTGGGGTACTGCTATTAAGACACCTAAAAATGTGGAAGACACTTTGGAGCTGGGTAACAGGCAGAGGTTGGAACACTTTGGAGGGCTCAGAAAAGACAGGAAGATGTGGTAAAGTTTAGAGCTTCCTAGAGACTTGTTGAATGGTTTTGACCAAAAAGTCCAGGCTGAGGTGGTCTCAGATGGAGATGAAGAACTTATTAGGAACTGGAGCAAAGGTGAGCCTTGCTATGCTTTAGCAAAGAGACTAGTGGCATTTTGCCCCTGTCCTAGAGATCTACGGAACTTTGAATTTGAGAGAAAGGATTAGGGTACCTGGTGGAAGAAATTTCTAAGCAGCAAAGCATTCAAGAGGTGACTTTGGAGCTCTTAAAAGCATTCAGTTTTATTCATTCACAAAGATATGGTTTGGAATTGGAACTTACGTTTAAAAGGGAAGCAGGCTATTGCTTCAGAGGGTGCAATCCCCAAGCCTTTGTGGCTTACATGTGGTGTTGGGCCTGCAGGTGCACAGAAGTCAAGAATTGAGTTTTGGGAACCTCCTTCTAAATTTCAGAGGATTTACGGAAATACTTGGATGTCCAGGCAGAGGTGTGCTGCCGGGGCAAAGCCCTCATGGGGAACTTCTGCTAGGGCAGTCTGGAAGGGAAATGTGGGGTCAGATCCCCCACACAGAGTCCCTACTGGGGCACTGACAAGTGGAGCTGTGAGAAGAGGGCCACCCTCCTCCAGACCTCAGAGAGGTAGAGCCACTGACAGCTTGTACCGTGTGTCTGGAAAACCCACAGACATTCAACACCAGCCTGTGAAAGCAGCTGGGAGCGGCACTGTATCCTGCAAAGTCATAGGGCTGGAGCTGCCCAAGGCCATGGGAGCCCACCTCTTGTATCAGTGTGCCCTAGATATGAGACATGCAGTCAAAGGAGATCATTTTTGAACTTTAAGGTTTAATGACCGCCCTATTGGATTTTGGACTTGCATGGGGCCTGTAGCCCCCTTGTTTTGGCCAATTTCTCCAATTTGGAACAGGTGTATTTACCCAATGCCTGTACCCTCATTATACCTAGGAAGTAACTAACTTGCTTTGATTTTATGGGCTCATGGGCAGAAGAGACTTGGCTTGTCTCAGATGAGACTTTGGACTGTGGACTTTTGAGTTAATGCTAAAATGAGTTAAGACTTTGGGGAACTGTTGGGAAGGCAAAATGGTTATGAAATGTGAGGACAAGAGATTTGGAAGGGGCCAGGGGTGGAATGAAATGGTTTGGCTGTGTCCTCATCTTGAATTGTAGCTCCCATAATCCCCATGTGTCAAGGGAGGGCCCTGGAGGGAGGTAATTGAATCATGAGGGCAGGATTTTCCCATGCTGTTCTCATGATAGTGAATAAGTCTCACGAGATCTGATGGTTTTATAAAGGGCAGTTTCCCTGCACATGCTCTCTTGCCTGCCACCATGTAAGATGTGCCTTTGCACTTCGTTTGCCTTCTGTCATGATTGTGAGGCCTCCCCAGCTATGTGGAACTGTGAGTCCATTAAACCTCTTTTTCTTTATAAATTACCCACATAATTCTTCATAGCAGTATGAAATACTCAGGTATTTCTTCATAGCAGTATGAAAATGGAGTCATACACCCTGGGACCCTGGGCATATTACAAGGTCTTAATGAGAGAATAACATTTGTAGCATGTGGCTAATAATTGCTATCCTGCAAGCTTTATTAAATCATTTCTTTTATTTGTTAAAACGTTATAAACATTTAGTTTTACTTTAGTTTTTACTAGAAAGTTGTAAATACACATTTCTTTTTTTAAAAAAATCTATAATTTTCTTTTCTAGTTGATTTTGAAGCTTCAGTATATAAAGTAGCATGTATTTTACACATGAGCTTTGCTGTCACTTAACTGAGTAGGAAAAAACCAACAGTACAGGAAGTTTGATGGAGTCCAAAATCTTAGTAGAGATCTGTGGGTTTCCCCTTAAATATTGGTGAAAATATAGGATCTGACAAGGCCCTGTCTTGTCTCTTTTAAGAAGGCATAGTTTGATACAACATCATGCCTTCCAGGATTTCATAACTGAATTTTCATACTAGAATTTTTGATAGGCATATGGCTGTCCAGCCAAAGACTACATCTCTTAGCTTCCTTTGCAGCTTGGCGTGGCCGTGTGACTAAGTTCTGATCAATGGTATGTGAGGAGGAATGAGCTACGCAACTTTGGGTCATGCCCTGAAAATGAAGATGCAGTCCTCATCCCCTGTCTATTGTCTGAAATATGGATGGATGGACATAGCTGAAGACATTTTATTGGGTCAAAGATGGAAGCTGTGTGTTAAAGGTGGCAGAAGAGCAGGACAAAAATAACATGGGCCCTGATGATTTTGGAGCCAACATATCACCTTGGACCAATGACTCAGACTTCAATGTGAGAGATAAGCAAATTTTTATCTTGTTTAAGCCACTATTATTTTGGGCCTCTCTGTTACAGCACTAAAAAATGTACGTTAACCTCTCCATTTTCATGTTTCTGTCCCTTTCATTCACTCCTCCCCCTGAACAACACGACTTAAAGTCACTCATGTGTGCCAATCTCATAAAAAGGCTTCTTCTGAGTTCCTATTCTGAGAACCTGCTAAATTTCCTTGAAATCTAGTTGCCTTGAAGTTGCTAGTCCTCCTCCCTGGTGAATGGTGTCTTGCCCTAAAGCTAAGCCCCAATACCCATGGAAATGTTTTCTCAAAATCTGGTTCCTGTTCATTCTGACTGCCTGGATGTTCCATTATGTTTCCTACCTCCTCTTAAGATCCTCAGCTTCCTTAAGTTGGACCCAATACTAATTATAACCTTATATTGGCTTTTCCTTTCCTTGCCTATGTGATCTTTTTTGTTCATCACATTCCACCAGCAAAGTCCAGAGGCAGCATTTTGAATAGACCTGGTCCCTTTTCTCAATCTCTTTCAGTTTTTTTTTGGCCCCAGAAAATATAACTGATCCCTTGTCTCCATCTCTTTGGCCTTTGAGCTGAAATAACTAGAAGAAGCTTGCCAAAGCATACTAATATATGTAAGTTGTTGAGTGACTACTGTGTAAGTGTCCCATTTTAGGGATTACCTCCAATCCTTATAACAAATCTAAAAAGAGGTTGTATTATTCCCCTTATACAGATGAAGAAACTGAGGCTCAGAGTGAATAAGTGTCTTGTCCAAGATGCCTCATCTAGTAAGTAATGAATCTTCAATTAAAACCCAATCTATAATCTTTTCACTATATAGGCTATCTTCTAAGCCCAATGTTAAGACAAGGGCACAGAGATTAGGGCTCATGAAAAAGAAGACATTCTCTTTGTGAGAATGTCCTACCATGGGTACACAGATTCCAAGGATGTGAGGGGACTATCTAGCACCATACTCTAGAGGCCATATTAACACCAGGATGCTAATATGAAAGTTTCAAAGCTTCTTGGATGAAAAGATGCTCTCCTTCTAACTTCTGCTTTTTGAATTTAAAAAAAGTCATTTTTCTCACCTTTTCTCTCCTAGGATTCTTCTGTTTCCCTGACCTTGATTGACATTTCTCCCTAAGTCCTCTGAATTATTATGGAATTAAATGGCTTATTTTAATTTCCCTAGGTGTCTTTATTGAATTCTTTCACAGTGTTTTATGGAAAATATCTGATTACGAATTCATAGAACAGAACATTATGAGATTCTTTGCTAAGTGGCTGCCACAGTAGTATTCAGGTCCTGAAGCCTCTGCAATCTCTGTTTCTGTATACAGGCTCAGAAACAAGGAGGCAAGCTAAGTTCCAGCATCTTGCAGTTGACTCTTTTATATCACCTCCTGAACAATTCCTAAACAGAAAATACTGTCCCCAACCCCCTGGAAAGATTCATGAAATATTAGAAAGCAAATCATTTTAACACAGAAGTTAAGATCTTGGGTTCTGGAATCAAACTGGGTTTGAATCTCACTGCTTCTGTTTAAATGACCTTGGGTAAGTTTCTTAATCTCACTTTCCCTCCATTTCATGGTCTGTAAAGTGGGAGTAACACCTACCTCACAGAGTATTCATGAGGATTACATGAACTAATAGTGCCAAGCTCATAATAAGTGCCAACCTAAAAGTTAACTAACTATATCTTTTATAATTAAGAAGTAGGAGAGTCTTGTTAAACCTAGTACAAAATACCATAGCATGTGAAAGATTCTATGAGTACCTGCACCTCCTAACCATTTTCTGACCTATATACGTATTATACATAAACATGAAATCATATGAAACCATGCTATTTAGCAGAATTCCTCTAATTCAGCTTGATTGACACAAATAATCCACAATGTGGAGGTGTCCTGAGAGATCAGATGATTCCTTCAGAGAAGAGGGTGAATTCTCATTAGAGATCTGGTAGTTCCAGTCTAGATGAGTCACCAATGAATAGATTTGCTATGGGTTAATGTTCCGCCCAGCTTGACTAAATTTTAGGCAGGTTTCTTCCTGACTATTGGCTCCTAACCTCCCTTTTCTTAGAGCATTTACTTTACAAAACTTGCAATTATAAATTAGGTCTCTGGCCCTTTGACATGTAAATCTTCTCCCAGTCTCTCACTGATTTTACATCCTAAAAATGCCCTTTCCAAGGACCTAGAAACCATCCTTTTGAAATATGATTATCAAAAAAGATAATGTCCTTATCTTCTCATCTCTGTGGAAGGATAGGAGGCTGATTTGATAAGCACCGACAAAGAAACAAGATTTTCCTTCAAAGTAAGGAAGTATGAAGAAGTGGCCTTGTAGGGAGTGACAGACATGGCTCAGATTCAAGCAGATCATTTAGTCATTATAGAGAAGTTAAATATTCCTCTCTTACAGGTTAGCTGGGCTTTAAAATCACAAGAAAAAAGTCAAAGGTTACAGGCTTTTGTGAAAAAGTACACAAAAAGATGCCTTTCACAATGACAGTCAACTCAACTCTCCAAGCAATGCCTAGTTTCTAGAAACTTCCAGATGAAGACCAGCCATTTCAGTCTCTGAAGTCCCAGGGGTGTGCTGGGATCTTCCACCCACTCAGAAAGCCTCTTTCTAAGAATTCAGTCTTTGAGCATAGCTGTTAGCTAGAAAGAAAATTCCAGTTGATGTATGAATCTATAGAACCAGTCATTCTCATGCCCTCTAGGGATAAACTAGGCATCTCCAAACCCTGAAGGAACAGAGTGGTGGTGAGTGGTGTTCAAATATTTTAAAAGTATTGGAGTACCAACAAGGACATACTGGTTAGGAGAATATGAGCTCCCAAAATGGATATTAGACACATTATTATTACTTTTTGAGATGGAATCTTGCTCTGTCGCCCAGGTTGGAGTGCAGTGGCACGATCTTGGCTCACCACAACCTCCACCTCCCAGGTTCAATCGATTCTCCTGCCTCAGCCTCCAGAGTAGCTGAGATTAAAGGTGCATGCCACCACACCCAGCTAATTTTTGTATTTTGAGTAGAGACAGGGTTTCATCATGTTGGCCAGGCTGGTCTTGAACTCCTGACCTCATAATCCACCTGCCTTGGCCTCCCAAAGTGCTGGGATTACAGGTGTAAGCCACCATGCCTGGCCTAGACACATTATAAAGGTAAATAATTATAACCATGTGATGTTGACACATGAGTAAATATGAATAAATTCAGATACCTAAAGGGAATGCAGTAGAAATTAAGTAAAAAACAAAATATAATTTGGCATCAAGCATACAATAAAAGTAGCATTTCTTTTTTTTTTTTTTTTTTTTGAGATGGAGTCTTGCTCTGTTGCCCAGGCTGGAGTCCAGTGGCGTCGGCTCACTGCAAACTCCGCCTCCCAGGTTCACACCATTCTCCTGCCTCAGCCTCCCAAGCAGCTGGGACTACAGGCACCCACCACCACCCCCGGCTAATTTTTTTGTATTTTTAGTAGAGACGGGGTTTCACCATGTTAGCCAGGATGGTCTGGATCTCCTGACCTTGTGATCCGCCTGCCTTGGCCTCCCAAAGTGCTGGGATTACAGGTGTGAGCCACTGCGCCCGGCCTAAAAGCAGCATTTCTAATCAGTGAGGATGACAAGGACTATTAATTCATTCAATAATACAGGAACAATTAAATAGTCATCTAGTAAAAATAAAGTTTGATTCATACCTCATTCCTTATACAACAGTAAATTACATAGATCAAATATAGAAAAACCCAAACCATAAAAGTACTAGAAGAAATTATAATAAGATTCTTATATAATCTGGAAGTGAGGGAGGCCTTTTTAATAATAATACAACATTTTGAAACCATTCATTTAAAAAAGGCTTGATTAAATAAACTACAAAGTAATTTTAAAAATTTGCATGGTGGCCGGGTGCGGTGGCTCACGCCTTTAATCCCAGCACCTTGGGAGGCTGAGGTGGGCAGATCACGAGGTCAGGAGATCGAGACCATCCTGGCTAACATGGTAAAACCCTGTCTCTACTAAAAATACAAAAAAATTGGCCAGGCATGGTGGCGGGCACCTGTAGTCCCAGCTACTCGGGAGGCTGAGGCAGGAGAATGGCGTGAACCCGGGAGGTGGAGCTTGCAGTGAGCCAAGATCATGCTACTGCACTCCAGTCTGGGTGACAGAGGAAGACTCCATCTCAAAATAAAATAAAATAAAATAAAATTTGCATGGTAAAAATCAGTGTAAGTTAAGTTGCAAGTAAATGAAAAACTGAGGAAAGATAATTACAACTTGTATCCATTCATGGGGCTATATGGCTAATAAGAAAGAGCTCCTTTGCCCTTCACATCAATAGAAATAGACCAACAGCAGCTCCCAGAATGGGCCAAGGCATTTTGAACAGGCAGTTCAGAGAAAAGGAAATACAAATGGAACTTAAACATATGAAAAAAAGCTCAATTTTATTCATAATACAAGAAACAGCACAAAGATACTACTTTTCACCTACCAAATATGTAAGTTCCAAAAATTTGATAATATGCTATATTGGTCAGGACATAACAAACTTTTCCTTATATTGCTGCTGATGGTATAAATCATTGTAACTGCTAAGGAGGGCAATTTGGCAATACTTATCAAAAGTACAAACATCCCTGAACCAGCAATTTAACTTTTGGGAATGTATCCATCACACATATGCCTTCATATGTGATGTATAAATAAGGTTATTCATTGCAGCATTGTTTATAATAAGAAAATATATAAACCATTGTTATTGATAGGGAGATAGTTAAATAAATTAAGGTATATTAATAGGATTATTATTATTTTTTAAAATTTTGCAGGCACATAAAACATTCACACAACTAAATACCAGAAAGTGCTCTATGTTCTACTGTGGAAATATCTCTATTAAATTAAATTAATGGGTTAAAAAAACAAGATAAAGAACAGAATGTAGAGTATGCTACCATTTTTTATATAGCTTAAAAATGAGAGATAAAGAGAGGAAAAATATATTTTTATATTTGCTTGTACCTCGGTTAAATATCCCTGGAAGGATATACCTGACACTGTGTGGTTGCCTATTGGGAAGAGAAATGGGTATCTGAGGTAATAGGTATTATAGGGAGATTTGCTTCACTAAACATTGTATAAACTTTTATACTTTCTTACATTAAAACTCTCTTGGCCAGGAGTGGTGGCTCATGCCTGTAATGCCAGCACCTTGGGAAGCCAAGGCAGGTGGATCTCCTTGAGTTCAAAAGTTCAAGACCAGCCTGGATAATACGGCAAAACCCCATCTCTACCAAAAATACAAAAAATTAGCTGGGTGTGGTGGCCCATGCCTGTGATCCCAGTTACTTGGGAGGCTGAGATAGGAGGATCCTTTGAGCTGGGGAGGTGGAGGTTGCAGTGAGCCATGATTGTGCCACTGCACTCCAGCCAGCATGACAGAGCGAGACCCTGTCTCAAAAACAAACAAACAAACAAACAAAACTCTCTTATATGACATCTCATACTTTGAAATGTTCAATTTAATCATTTTCCAAATCTGGAATATGGCTCATTTTTATTGAGATATGAATTGTTGTTGATCTCATGCTTGATCTTCCCAAACAGAACAGAGGCTCTATATCTTTCTCTGAGAAACTTTGGTGATATTTTTAGCACTGAAAGTGGGTAAGAACACTTCTAACACTGGAAATTCAAAGTCTGCAGCACTTACTCTTGGGACTTGGAAAAATTCTTTTTTAAATTAATAATTGTTCATCAATGGTTCCATTTTCTTTGCCTACAAGCATGTTTCTTCCTTCAAAGTGGACATGGGTGTGTGCATATACTCATCTGTACACACATACATACACATGTATATGTGTAAGGTATTGAAAGTAAAATGTTTTCTTTTAAAGTATGTTTGCATTTTTCCTAGAATTGGCCTCACAGTTTCCATCAGACACTCAAAGCAGTGGGTGACATAGGAAAGGTTAAATATTACTAAATAGTGGACATTACAATTCCTAGTTATTCTTTTCCCCTTTCCTACAGCTACCATTTAAATCTAGGTTGGCAACTTCCCTTGGGTCTAAATCAGCAGTCCCCAGTCTTTTTGGCATCAGGGACCGGTGTTATGGAAGACAATTTTTCCATGGGCAGGGCCCAGGGTGGAGGATAGTTTTGGGATGATTCAAGCACATTACATTTTTTGTGCACTTTATTTCTATTATTATTACATTGTAACATATAATGAAATAATTATACAACTCACTACAACGTAGAATCAGTGGGAGCCCTGAACTTGTTTTCCTGCAACTAGATGGTCCCATCTGGGGGTAATGGGAGACAGTGACAGATCATCAGGCATTAGATTCTCATAAGGAGCACACAGTCTATGCAGTTCACAAAAAGGTTCGCACTCCTATGAGAATCTAATGCTGCTGCTGATGTGACAGGATGCAGATCTCCGGTGGTAATGCTCGCTCACCTGCTGCTCACTTCCTGCTATGCAGCCAGGTTTCTAACAGGCCATGGGCTGGTTGGTACTGGTCTGTGGTCTGGGGGTTGGAAATCTTTGGTCTAGATGACCTTGACAGCAGTATAGCTGGCCTGTCTGCCTTCAGGCTTTCCACACTCCACATTATATGCCCAACCAGCCAGCTGTTAGTAATCATTTTAAAAATAATTTACTGCCTACTTTATCAAACTAGCTGTGAAGCGTTTGACTGTACGTTGAACTATAGCCAAGTGTGCTGTATTTCTGCACTCATGAGTGAGCACTTCGTTGTCATACTTCATTGTCCTGGAATTTCTCTGTTCCTGTTTTTATTAGTGGGGAAAACTCTGCTGTATTAATTTTGTTCACAGAATAAACAAATTTTTCTTTAATATATAAAAATAAACTAGAAAACATGTTTTACTGGTCACTTTTCAGGAAGAAATGCCTGTATATATTTTTTAAATTTTTTTTTTTAGGAACTTTCCATAGGGTGAATGATCCATGTTTGAATATAAAGTAATGATTTTATTCAGTGCTTATAAACTGTATTCAATTGCATGGAGAAAAAAGAATACACTGACCTCTAATTTAAAAGTAAAGAGCTTTCTGGAGAGGTAACAGAATAATAACTAATGGAGCTTTACAGTTTATAAGTGCTTTCATATAAATGACCTCATTTGTCCCCACCAAAATCTCATGACAAATTGTAATCCCCAGTGTTGGAGGTAGGGTCGACTGGGAGGTGACTGGATCATGGGGGGTGGTCCTTCATGAATGGTATAGCACCATCTCCTGGTGCTGTTCTTACGATAGTGAGTGAGTTCTCTCGTGAGATCTGGTTGTTTAAAAGTATGCAGCACCTCCCCCTTCTCTCTCTCTTGGTCCTGGTCCTGCCATGTAAGATGCCTATGCTTCTGCTTTGCCTTCCGTCATGAGTAAAAACTCCCTGAAGCCTCCCCAGAAGCAGATGCCGCTATACTTCCTATAAAGCCTGGAGAATCATGAGCCAATTAAACCTATTTTCTGAAAAAATTACGCAGTCTCAGGTATTTCTTTATAGCAGTGAGAGAACAGACTAATACATCATCACTGTTATTTTAAAGAATAAGGAAATGAAGACTCAGAAGGATGAAGCAATGACCAACCCAGGTCATACAGTAGGTAAGCGAAAAACCAGGGCCTTTAACTTAAACTTTCTGACACTGTATCTCATAATCTTTCTCATATGGTGAGTGGCTCTCCCAACATTACTGTTACATAAAAATTTAGGTCATGCGTGTAATTTTATCAAGTATCCCTCAATTCCTGGGACTTAAGTAATTGATACACAGAACAGGTTAAATAGAGAGCCTTTTCTGAAAGGGTAAGGAAAAACAACATTGATGTTTCAGAACCAATGTGTGTTTATATCATGGAAAAAGCTAGAAATCCCAGTAGAAAAGTCTTTACAGAAGCACTACTTATCACTGTATACCTGGCTATATATAAATCATAGGTAGCATACTCCCCCTTTCCCTGAATTCTAATGAAAGCATTGTTCCAAATCTATTACAGCTATATAGTTTTTATAAAATGACCCATGGGGAAAATTCTTTCTAGAGTTTAAAAGCTGGAAAAGAGTTTCTTTCTCTACACGCCTTGATAATATTGTTATCAATATAATATTATATAATATTATAATGACAGTTCTATAGCCCACTTTTGTCTTGATTATCAAGAAGCTCAGAGTCAAGTTGTAGTCTTAGTTGTAGTCATTTTTCTTAATTTGGGTTTTCTAAAATGTGATTGTTAATACTGAATGTCAATTTGATTGGACTGAAGGATGCAAAGTATTGTTTCTGGGTGTCTCCGTGAGGGTGTTGCCAAAGGAGAGTAACATTTGAGTCAGTGGACTGGGAGAGGCAGATCACCCTCAATCTGGGTGGGCACGATCTAATCAGCTGCCAGCGTGGCTACAAAAAAGCAGGCAGAATAAAGTGGAATGGGCAGACTTGCTGAGTCTTCCGGCCTTCATCTGTCTCCTGTGCTGAATGCTTCCTGCCCTGAAACAACAGACTCCAGGTTCTTCAGCTTTGGACTCTTGGAGTTACACCAGTGATTTGCTAGGGGCTCTTGGGCCTTCGGCCACAGACTGAAGGCTGCACTGTCGGCTTCCGTACTTCTGAGATTTTGGGACTTGGACTGGCTTCCTCGCTTCTCAGCTTGCAGACAGCATATTGTGGGACTTCACCTTGTGATCATGTGAGTCAATATTCCTTAATAAACTCCCCATCCATCCTATTAGTTCTGTCCCTCTAGAGAACCCTAATACATGGATTATTTTCTTTGTTCTCCTTTTTACATTTTTCCTTTTATACTATCTAGTTCATACCTTTTACTACCGTTTCAATGGATTTTTATTTTACTGTAATTATATCTTTTTTTATAAGCCTCCTCAAATCTGTTTTGAAGATAGGCAGAGTATAAACATACAGAGTCCATTCTAAGGAACATGAGCATTTAGTCCATTGAAAGAACTAACAATAGTATACCAGGTGCAAATGATCTATTTAATCTCTTGAGTAGCTTCCAGAGAAGAAATTTCTGCTGTAAGTGCACAGGGTAATAGAGTCCTGTTTTCTTTCTTTTATTCTTATAATAAAAGTTTGACATCACTATCACAACCATTTCATGTGTCAGTAACAGTAGATGATAGGTATTTGGTATTATACAACATTTGCTTGTGTTAAAATGAGCCCTGGTATTTCACGTATGTTTTATGATTGTGCACATTTGGTGTGATCCAAAGAGATAATAGTGGAATTTTCTATGGAAATTCTTGTTTGATACAGAATTATATCAGAAGTTGACACAAGAATCAATGTGTATATTGTCTAGGGTATATATCTTACATATATAATTATATCACATCTACAGTTCTGATTATCATAGGAATATAATACACATGTCACACGGACAAACGTATTCATTTTCCTAATTGATGGCTACAGCAGAGAAAACCAGTGAGTATCATCTTTGAGAGATAAAACCGTGGAAATGTCCTTTGTGGTATGATTAATACTAAAAGGGAAAGGGTAATTGGGTGAGAAGTTAGAAGGTGAACCAAAGGAAGACTAAGAACTTTTTGTACCGTCAATAAAACAAATCCAGACTTAGACACGGTGAGACGTAAAAAAACTACATCAACCTGGAGAATGTTCCTCCCTTAGGATTTTCAAGCCACTCAAAAATCAATCAAAAAGGTTTTTCTTTTATAGGGACGGCTAAACAGAACTAGCAGAAACTTAGAGGTAAAATTGAGTGACAGGGCGGAGCTAAGCAGACATCATGATGGGGATGATATAACAGGAAATGTTGCTGTGATCAGCTAATTTGGAATGAACTGTTAAGGTAGGGTGATATAGCTAGTGTTTTTGTTCCCTAGTGTATTGTTCAGTTTCACATTGAATTGTAATCCTCAGTGTTGGAGGTGGGGCCTGGTGGGAGGTTACTGGATCATGGGAGTGGATTTCTCATGAATGGTTTACCATCATCCCCTTGGTGCTATTCTCATGACAGTGAGTGAGTTCTCACAAAATCTAGTTGCTTAAAAGTGTTTGGTACCTCCCCCCTCTCTCGCTTGCTCCTACATTTGCTATACAAAGTGCCTGCTCCCGCTTTGACACCCTCTACCATGATTGTAAGCTTTCTGAGGCTTCCCTAGAACGCGAGCAGATGCCAGGAACATGCTTCCTGTAAAGCCTGCAGAACCGTGAGCCAATTAAACCTCTTTTCTTTATAAATCACTCAGTCTCAGGTATTTCTTTATAGTAAGGCAAGAACAGCCTAACACAGTGGGATGTTTACATTTTAGTGTTTGCTCAGATTTGGGGCAAGCCAAAAGTCAGGAGCCTGTGGGGAGGAGAGATGTCTGATTAAATCTTGATCAAGCCAAGTCAGTGGGCAAGAAATGGGCAATTGTGAGCATCTGGCCGGGATCTGCAACCTCATGAAAAGTATATACCATCAAAAGGCTAACTACTTGTTTGTCACATAAATTCTTATAAAAAGCTTAGTGGAGCCAAGAAGCAAGCTAAGTATAATAAGAGAAACTCTTCTTACCATTTGTATCACTAATGAGCACATAATTGCAGCTAGTCATGTAAGTCTCCTACAAATCAGCGTAAGGTTAATTAAGAGAGTTGAGACACTTAGGTGAAAGTCACTTTTGCTTATAGTAAAGAACTTATCTATCTTACAGACACATATCACTTACATTATGTATTTGTTATATTAATATATTTAATATATTTAAAAAACATTGTAAAATGATGATCTGGCAATATCCCTAGAAGAACCTCATTGAAATACTTGAGATTTATTGGTCATTTGTCTTTACAAAATTGAGATTTGAAAAGCTTTAAAGGAGGACATTCTACCAAAGCATAACTCATAAAACAGAAGATAAAAGTATGAGCCATGGAATTATAGAGCTGGAAAAGATCTAGCCCTACTGTTTCATTTTCAAATGAGGAAATTGAGGGTTATTCTAAGGGGTTGTTTTTTTAAGTCATACAGTAAGTTGGTGCAGACGGAGGAGTAGCAATCAGATCTCTGAGCTCTTTTCCTCTTTGACAATGAAGTTCACGAATGCAATTTTGTTTCATAAGTTATTTACTTTACTAAAGTAAAGTAAGGTACAGCTATGATTTATTGTTAAATGAGAAGAATGAGTGTCAGAGAACTGTATATGGCATGATTTCATGTTCTTAAAATACAAACAATATTTGTCAATCTATCTATCTATCTATATTGATTTATTTATCTTCTATCTGTATGTGATTGAATGAAATTGGAGAAATGAGTGGAAGCATATACACCACACTAACATTGAACATTTACAAGAAGGGTAAAAAAAGGAGTAAGAAAAAAGGAAGCAAAATAGAATTTGGTAAAATGGTATGTGAAAGTGAAGATTGCAAAACTTTTATCCATAAAATTATTAATACATAAAAATTGAATGTGCACATAGACGAAGACTAGAAAGTCACTAGGATATACATACAACAAGAACATAAACAAAAGAACATATTATTTTGACCAGGGGTTTATTAAAAATAAAAATAAAAACAAGTCCAATGACTCCCTTTTCTGAAACCACTGAAACACAACTATTTTGACTCAAAACTGATAAAAAGATGTAATCATATATTCACAAACAGTATTCACTTAGGAAATTTTACCTTATTTTCAGCATTGATACCTATAAAGTTTTGTGCTTCACCTATGAATGTATATATATGTACATATACGTCCATATAAATATTTTATTTGCTTACCATTATATTTGTTTACTAAATTTGGATATACTTCTTTATTAAATAATTTAGACAATGAAAATAAAATTAATGTATACTCACTGTTAAAAGCTTAGAAAATTTAGAAAAAGAGAGAGCAGAAAATAAAAACCACTGATAATCTTACTCAGAGATATCCACTGTTAGACTTTTTGCATATGTCCTTTCAGATTTTTTTTGCATGTATGTGTATTCAAAAATGGGCTAATATCTTACTTTATTATCTGCTGCTTTCATTTAGTAACAAATTATGGCTATATTTCTGTGGTAATATATATAGATACAATGTCATTTTAAATTAGGTGTTTAACATTTTATCATCAGGAATTAGTGTAATTTCTTTTTTAAATTTTCTATTAATGGTCATTTGATTTGATTCTATTTTTTAAACAACCATAAACAATGCTGAAATGAATATCTTTATATGTGCATTTTTTGCTCCTGTTCAATTGCTTCCTTAGGATATATTCCTATATGTGATATTTAATTATAAAATATTTAATTTCCTAACTCCCTGGAAGTTTACACTTCAGTATCAAAAACACTAGTGGATGACAATTCCTTTGCTATTAGAACAGAAGACCATAGAATCAACCAATAACAGATACAAAGTTTTTCTCATGGGTAAGTGCCCTACACTGGTCACTTAATTCTTCATTATATTTTGGGCAAATAAATTTGTATCTAAAAACCATCTTTATGATGATCTATGACTTATAAAAATCTACTATTTATCTTACAAATTACTTCCAATTACTTTTACTTCTTCTTCTGTTGCCGGTATGAGGTCACTAATGGTAGATTTTAGAAAATGCGCTAACAATTATATGTAAACCATACAATTAGTATTTTTTAAGTGTCTACAAAGAAGACATTTGCAAGTGGTTTCTAGCTTTATTGTGAATGTGCAAGGGGTATATTCTATCAAGTAAGCATCATTCCTATCCTCAAGACACTTATATATACTGGAAATATGAAATCATTATCCATAGTTTGGAAAAATTTTTCTTTTAAGAAAATAATAGATGGAAAAGAAAAGAGAAGTCCAAGGAAAAAAAAAGTCATCTGTTAAGATCTGCTATGTACCAGGAATATAGTTAACTACTTCCTTATTAATTACAGCCTCCCAATAATATTGAAGTAGATATTATTTATTATAGCTGTTTTCCATATGAAGAAGTGAAATTCAGACTGATGAAATGATTTGCACAAGGTGACACTGCCAATAATTGATATAGTGAGATTCAAACCTAGGTGACATACTTTTGACCCAACAAAATAAGTTTTCAACAACTTGAGTGTCTCAGTGATAGAATATATTATCTCTGGAAGCAGTGAGCTTATCATCATGGGAAGTATGTTAGCAGATGTTAGTTGATGTTGGTTGATCATATATCAGAGACATGAAAAATATTCTACTACTAATGGGCGATTTCACTTGCTCATCTCCCTAGGCCCCTTCTGGAGGGTTAGATATTTTGTTGAATTGAAAACTGTACCATTTTTAAACCATTGATACGTCATAAGCAAATATTAGACCACAGAATAATACTCAACTATTTTACACTTAAGGGAAACCAAATATCACAATGAATATTATCTCTAATTTTAGAATACTAGAGAATCTCAGCGGTATTTGAAAGATCAAAATTTATATTATGCATGTTATTTTTGCTTTTAAACACTAGTTAGAATGTATGGTGCTAAATACATTTTAGCGTCTGTGGTGCTAAGAACACAATCGTTTGATTAAACAAGATCTCTTGATAAAGATTAGTTAGCACATGCTAGCCTAACAATTACTGAAATTCACATTTTTACATGGGTATCCTATTATTAAGTGATTCCTTAGATTTAATCTATCTGAAAAAAGTCAGTAAAATGTTATATAAAATAATAATAAAAATAAATCCTCTCTTGATTTAGATAAAATAGCATGCTTGTGTGCTAATGTATTCTACTACCTACCTTCCCCAGTTGCTTCTATTAAAAATAGTACTGTAAAAAGAAATAAAAATCAAAAATATAATATGCCTGTTGCAAAGCGTTTCAGAGAAGCTTTTATGTGAAATTTAACAGTTCATGGAACAAAGAATATGACTGGAGGCAAGGAAAATTTCTCCTCTGAAAATAAGTGAAACCTAGGTCGTCATTAGAGTTTGTGCATTCACTTTTGGGACATAGGATATGTTCAGGGCTATGACTCATTTACATACATGACTATGTGGCCTGTGTTTTGGGAGGGCTGTGGGGTGTTAGCTGAAGCCTTCCATGCTGGTAGTTATGCTTTGCTAAGAGAAGGCTGGTTCTCTACTTACACCCCCTCAGATGGCTCTCTTTAGTGCATGTCTGTATGATTTGACCTAACAGAAAGAAGAAATGGACTAGCTTCTGTTATTCTATGTCAGCAGCATATTTTATTGAAAGGAGTATGGACTTCAGGAAAAGAAAAATCAGGGTTTGAAGCAGCTGAGAAGTCAACAAGCTACTTATTCTTCTGAGCTCTTCTTCATCTATAAAATGGGCATAATAATACTTCACTGAGTGAGTTGTTTTGAGAATTGAATACAAAAAATGTTGACAGTAGTAAACTGCACATCATCTGATACACAGTTAAGAATGGAGTACATTTTAGCATCCTTTTTTTTAGTTCTGTAATAAGGAGATTGTAAATACATTTAAAAAAAAATGTTTCCCTAGAGTTTGGTGGGTGATATTGCCACTTAGGAGGATAGCTATCAGCTGCACTGGTGACAAAGTACCTCCTGATGCAGACCCAGAGCTACATAAGCAAACATGAGGGGCTTGGAAGCAACCCAGACATCAAGCAGGAGCAGTTTCCAGGGCTGTGAAGATGTTTGCTCTCCTCTACTTAGAAAGAGGCTCTTTTAGGAGAAAGGGACATATTTAGGAGAAAGAGCTCTGCCTGTTCTTGCAGACCCAGGGAAAGAGGAGCTTGGATCAGGAAGCCAGAGAGCATTTACTCTGCCTTAGTGAGTTCCTAAGGTCCTAGAAACTCTCTATGGGTGGGTCTCTGCTGCGGTGAGGGACTCTGAACTGTGACCTGCCCCTCAGATCCCAGGAAGAAGAGAAGCAAAAGCTTAGAAAGCAAGGCTGTAGGATAAGTGTTAGCCACTGATTTCAGAGCTATGTATTTTCCAGCAAATTGTCTAAGAACTATGCTTTATCTATCCAATATAGACAATGTACTCTATAATAAAATTCCTTAGGAATTAATTTTAATAGCTTTCATTTATAATTAAAATCTAGATGGCATTTATATATTGACAAATGAATACAATTTAACCTTAAGTATAAGAAGAAAATGCCAGCCTTAAAAATACATTTTAACTACTTAACTATTTTTATACGAATGCACTTGAGATTAATCTAATATAGTCCATATATCTTGCAGTCAGTTCAATGTAACAAGATTATTAAAACTGGTTTAGAAATAGGAGGGTGTTTATGAGATTATCTGTCACCCTTGTATTGTGAAGCCTGAGCGCTTGATTACTCTGCATGTTTGCTCTTGTGTAATGACAAGCACGTCCCGTGGAGCCAATTACTGCCTCCACTTTACTTAAGTGATCCTCCATCCCATCAAGAAGATATTCAACCTGATTCTTAGAAAAGTGTGAGTATTTGAAGTAGTTCCAGTGAAGGTGGTAAATTTCCTAACTTGAAAGCACTTTCTTATGATTGCAATGACAATGGTTAAAGAAATAAAACTTCAGAAAAGATTCCACATGAAAGCAACTTAGAATATGAGTAATTATACCTTAACTACAATCCTCAGTGATCAAAAGATAAGCAAGGTTTCCCAAGCATCTTTCTGTGGAGCATGCACTCTAATGAGAAAGAGAAGCCATGCATACTCTGATAAAAAGGCAAGAAAATTATATTTATGAATTACCAGCTATGTTTCAGGCTATAAAGTTGAGAATTCCCAACCTGAAAATCTGAAATCCGAAATGCTCCCAAATCTAATTTTTTGAACACCTACATGACACCACAAGTAGAAAATTTTGACTGTATTTTGACAAGCCACAGTCAAAATACAGTCAAAATTTTGTTTTGTGCACAAAATTATTAAAAATATTGTATAAAATTACATTCATGCTTTGTATAGAAGGTGTATATAAATAACAAATGAATTTCATGTTTAGATTTGGGTCCCAACTACAAGATGTTTCATTATATATATGCAAACATTCCAAATCCAAAAATAATTGAAATCTGAAACACTTCCGGTCACAAGCATTTCAGATAAGGGATACCTAAACTGTAGTAGTACAGTGTATAATTTAATCTTGCTACAGTCTTATAGGGTGGTTATTAAAAATCTGAGTTTCTAGGTGAGGAAGTTGACATCAGGGAGGTCAGAAATTGCAAAACTGGGACTTGAGACCAGGTCCATCTAACTTCAAAACCTGTTATCTGAAAGGATTCTAAAAATGCAAACCTGAGAGTGCATGATGATGTAGAATATATTATCACATCACATATCCAGCTTTGCTGAAGAACAGGGTGTTCTGCACAATATGAGGCATTGAATATAATTGAATCCTACACCAATACTGATTTGTTTGGCATTTGAGTCTGATTTCAAGTGGGAAAACAGAAGTGTTGTTTGTAAAACTTATGAATTAATAAGTTCTGAGAATCAAAAGGACTGACCTCAAACAAATTCAGGAAATTATATTTACTCTTATTTCTGTCTTAGTCCTGGACAGTTGACGTTGCTAGATAAGTTTCAAACTACTACACAATTGCTGAGAAAATTGGGGTGGTAGGAAAAAGAGGAAACTGATTTCTATTAGTAAAACTAGTTGATGACCCATAGAGACTGCTCAAACTTTGAGTGGGTTCATATTTATAGGAATAAAGATGAGAGACCTCCAAATCTTTTCCTGATCCAATAAATATTTTGTTTATAAAATATCTGACATTAGAAATGTGTAGGGGTGGGGACAACAAAAAAAATGCTGAGACAAAATAGGCAAGAGAATCCAAATGTAATGTTGACCTTTGATCCTTCATCTCCATTGCTTAAGATTTTATTCTCCCAATTGTCTTAAGAGGTCTTAAGCAACAAACATAAGTGTTCAAAAAACTACAGAGCTCTGTTAGAGCTAGGCATAGCACTTGACTTAGTATCCTCCCAAAGCAAAATTTTGCAGATAGACAACACATACTACATAAAACGGTGTTTCCTCTTGCTCATTTTAAATTTACCTCCCATTAATTTCATTGCCTGTCCCTTCCCAATTGTCAAGCAAAAGCAGTATGATCAGATTTCATCAAAATAACTTAGACCACTTAAATCAATGTGTATTAGACTTTTCTTCTTTCTGTGCCAGGGTACTCTGGAATTTTATGCTCTCTTTTAGTAACTGCTCTTCTCTGGTACCAATTGACTGGTGCATTTATCATGACCTGTATTCCAACTGACACACCACAACAATTCCTGGGAATACAGTGAATTTAACATTAAGATTGTAAGATCAGCTGACATTCTAAGATTCTTACAGACAGGGCTTACGTGTATTTATTTTGGTATGACCACAGCAGCAAACACAATGTCTGCATCACAATAGGACAAGGTGAGAGCTAAAATTTAATATGTATCTGCATATGTTAGACTTTTATGTATATGCCATCGTGCATCTCTACACTCATCCTCTATTAGTATTCTCATTTCTGTCAATGGGGAAACTGAGTAAGTCACCTAAGATCAAGCAGCTGGTAAATAACAGAGCCAAGATTTGAATTCATGTCTGTCTGACTTTTTTTTTTTTTACCATGTGATTTACCAACCACACTCAGTACCCAAAATATTACTTGTGGAATGCCATTTTCACAGGGTTGTTTATCACACCTCTAATTAAACCTACCCTTGAGAGGGAAAAAACTGCAACTCAGCAAAACTGTAATTCACAACTAGCCTAATGGCCAAGTGGAATGGTACATGCCATGGTCAATCACTTAGCACGTAAGTAGTGTGTGATGAAGAGGTAAAAATTGAGGCACACACAGAGCCAGCCTCTGTTAATAACAATGATTCTTTGGGGACTGAGTCTCCACTTTCATTTTAACTACCACTGTAGAAAAATGATAAATAAAGTCAGTAGGTAGGATGGCAATATGATAGGTAGAAAGAGAAGAAAAAATAATTTGTGTATTTGTTTACCACTAAAATGCCCTTAAGAGGCAGCTTTGTCCAAGTGGCACTTTTAACATTTATTTTTACTTTTAATAATCATGTGTATTATATTTTTATGGCTCAATGGCACTATATGTTTGAAGAATTTTAGAACATTAATATCCAATGTTACCTAAGTCTAGCTGTGGACTTCATGCATGAAACACCATTCCAGCACAGAAGCACTCCTAGCTTGAATATCCTCAGTATTGAGGAACTTACTATCACACGGGGCAGCCACTCTATCTTTGAATAAAGATAGAATGAGTAAAGTTGATAAGAAAAGAAATTCTTACCTTCACATCAATCAAAGATCTGTATTCTTACAATATCCCTGAAATTATTCTGTAAGCAGGCCTGAAAGAATTACGTGGCAACATATGTTGCTAGGCTGGTTCGTTGGGTTTTGGCAAAGTCCTCAGTGTTTGTCAGCATTTCTATGTGAGAGAACTGGCTACATAGTCTATCTTGGAGCTAATATCATACTTGGGTCACTAAACATATGTATGAAATTTTGAGAATTGTTTCTTAATTTTTCAGTTTTAAAATCTAATGCAAACCTGTATTTCAGAAAAAAAGTATTGCTTGACCTTTTTAAAAATTATCACTTAATTAACATGGGGCCCAGCCGAGTTAGAATAACTTCTCACTTGTTCCAACATAAGAGAAACAAGCAAGGTACTCCTACCAGGGTGTCACTTAGACCTGCATATTCTTTTTAGTGATTGCAATGTTACTTCTTAGCCACCCAGGCCAATCCACCATAAAACAATCATTCTCCAACTTTCCTGGTCTTAAGAGTCACTTGGATTGCTTGTTTAAAAGGCATATTTGTTGAGCTCTGCCTCCAGAAATACTGATTTAGTAGCATGGAGCCGAGGAATCTTCATTTTTCACCAGCGCTGGAAGTGATTCTGATGCAAGTGATTTGTAGACCACATTTTGAGAAAAATTCCCTAATGTTAGCAGTTGTAATGATGCAGGTAGTTCATTCAGTTTTGCTTCAGTACAAAACTGCAAGGATAATACTATTGGGTTTTCTAGATATAGGATCATGCCATCTGCAAACAGGGATAGTTTGACTTCCTCTCTTCCTATTTGGATGCTGTTTTTCACACTGCTGTAAAGATACTACCTGAGACTGGGTTATTTATAAAGAAAAGAGGTTTAACTGACTCGCAGTTTCGCATGGCTGAGGAGGCCTCAGGAAACTTACAATCATGGTGGAAGGCAAAGGGGAAGCAAGGCACATCTTACATGGCAGCAGGAGAGAGACACAGTAAAGGGGGAATTGCCACACTCTAAGACCATCAGGTCTCGTGAGAACTCACCCACTATCATGAAAACAGCATGCTGGGAACCAACCCCATGATCCAATCACCTCCCACTAGGTCCCTCCCTTGACATATCAGGATTACAATTCAAGATGAGATTTGGGTGGGAACACAGCCAAACCATAGCAGATGCCCTTTCTTTCTTTCTCTTGCCTGACTGCACTGGCCAGAACTTCTGATACTATGTTGAATAGGAATAAGGAGGGCATGCTTGTCTTGTGCTGATTTTCAAGGAGAATGCTTCCAGCTTTGACCATTAAAAAGAATGAGATTATATCCTTTGCAGGGACATGGATGGAGCTGGAGACCATTATCCTTAGCAAACTAACACAGGAACAGAAAACCAAATTCTGCATGTTCTCACTTATAAGTGGGAGCTAAATGACGAGAACACATGGACACACAGAGGGGAACAACACACGCTGATATCTTTTGGAGGATGGAGGGTGGGAGGAGGGAGAGAGTCAGGAAAAATAATGGGTACTAGGCTTAATACCTGGGTGATGAAATAATCTGGACAACAAACCTCCATGATACAAGTTTACCTATGCAGCAAACATACTTGTATCCCTGAACATAAAATAAAAGTTAAAAAAGAAGAAAATTGCAAGGATGGTAAGATTTGGGGCTCTTTCATAACTTTTCAAATATGTCAACTGAGAATATCAAAATGAATCACCAGCCTTTTTTGTTTGGGGTGTGTTCCTGTGTGTTTGTCACAAAATTCACATACTTTTCAACTGTGCCTGCCTTACACTAAAATAGTCATTATACCCAGCTGTATAGGCCCAGCTATATACATATATATGTATATATATGTGTGTGTATGTGTTTGTGTGTGTCTGGGGGCTCCACACACATTTGGTGTCAATACTGAAGTAATGCAAATATCTCTGTATTGGCTACAAAACTCAAACAAGAAAAATGAATAGATTTGGATCTGATATGGCCTTCCACTTTGGCTCTGAACTTTAGTTGTAAGGAAGAAAATAATACTTAGTAAGAGTAATATATAAAATAGTGATTGTAAAACCAACTATTTGTGAAATAGTCTGCCAAGTATTATGGGATACATAAAGATGATTAACACACAGTTCTTGCAAAATTGGAGCCCACAACTTAGCAGAAGTTGTTAATCACTTTGGTCAGGTGAATGTTTCACTGAATAAGAAATATTAGTGTATTAAGTCATCAGATTCTTTAATGCTTTGAAGTGCTTCATACTGAGCTCTACATAAAATAGAAACTTCGTGTGTGTGCATGTGTGTCTATATATATACATATTTGAAGACAGGGTCTCACTATCTTGCCAAGGCTGGTCTCAAACACCTAGGCTCTAGCAATCCTTTGGCCTCAGCCTCCCGAGTACCTGGGACTACAGGCACATGCCTAGCACATAGAAAAACTTCACTGGTGTCCAAGGTGGCTGAATAGGAAGAGCTCTGGTCTGCAGTTCCCAGTGAGATCGATGCAGAAGATGGGTGATTTCTGCATTTCCAACTGAGGTACCTGGTTCATCTCATTGAGACTGGTTGGACAGTGGGTGCAGCCCACAGAGGGCGAGCTGAAGCAGGGCGGGGTGTTGCCTCACCCAGGAAGTGCAAGGGGTTGGGGGATTTCCCCTTCCTAGCCAAGGGAAACTGTGACAGACTGTACCTGGAGAAATGGTACACTCCTGATCAAATACTGCACTTTTCCCACAGTCTTAGCAACTGGCAGACCAGGAGATACCTTCCCTTGCCTGGCTTGGTGGGTCCCACACCCACGGATCCTTGCTCACTGCTAGTGCAGCAGTCTGAGATCAACATGCAATGCTGCAGCTTGACGGGGGGAGGGGCATCCGTCACTGTTGAGGCTTGAGTAGCTCACAGTGTGAACAAAGCAGCCGGGAAGCTCCAAATGGGTGGAGCCCACTGCAGCTTAGCAAGGCCTACTGCCTCTCTAGATTCCACCTCTGGGGGAAGGGCATAGCAGAACAAAAGGCAGCAGACAGTTTCTGCAGATTTAAATGTCCCTGTCTGACAGCTCGGAAGAAAGCAGTGGTTCTCTCAGCACAGCGTTTGAGCTCCAAGAACAGACAGACTGCCTCCTCAAGCAGGTCCCTGACCCCTGTGTAGCCTGACTGGGAGACATCTCCCAGTAGGGGCCAACAGACACCTCAAAGAGGTGGGTGCTCCTCTGGGACAAAGCTTCCAGAGGAAGGATCAGGCAGCAATATTTGCTGTTCTGCAGCCTCTACTAGTGATACCCAGGCAAACAGGGTCTGGAGTGGGCCTCCAGCAAACTCCAGCAGACCTGCAGCTGAGGGGCTTGACTGTTAGAAGGAAAACTAATAAACAGAAAGGAATAGCATCTACAGCAACGAAAAGGACATCCACACCAAAACCCCATCTGTATAGGTCACCAACATCAAAGACCAAAGGTAGATAAAACCAAAAAAATGGGAGAAACCACTGCAGAAAAGCTGAAAATTCCAAAAACCAGAATGCCTCTTCTCCTCCAAAGGATTGCAGCTCCTCGCCAGCAAGTGAACAAAACTAGACAGAGAATGAGTTTGATGAGTTGACAGAAGTAGCCTTCAGAAGGTTGGAATAACAAACTCCTCTGAGCTAAAGGATCATATTCTAACCCATCTCAAGGAAGCTAAAAACCCTGAAAAAAGGTTAGACAAATGGCTAACTAGAATAAACGGTGTAAAGAAGACTTTAAATGACCTGATGGAACTGAAAACCAAAGCACAAGAACCTCATGATGCATGCACAAGCATCAATAGCTGATTTGATCAAGTGGAAGAAAGGATAACAGTGATGGAAGATCAAATAAATGAAATAAAGCAAGAAGACAAGATTAGAGAAAAAAGAGTGAAAAGAAATGAACAAAGCCTCCAAGAAATATGGGACTATGTGAAAAGACCAAATATACATTTGATTGGTGTACCAGAAAGTGACAGGGAGAATGAACCAAGTTAGAAAACACTCTTCAGGATATTATCTAGGAGAACTTCCCGAATCTAGCAAGGCAGGCCAACATTCAAATTCAGGAAATACAGAGAACACCACAAAGATACTCCTCAAGAAGAGCAACCCCAAGACACATAATCATCAGATTCAACAAGGTTGAAATGAAGGAAAAAATGTTAAGGGCAGCCAGAGAGAAAGGTTGGGTTACCCACAAAGGGAAGCCCATTAGACTAACAGTGGATCTCTTGGCAGAAACATTACAAGCAAGAAGAGAGTGGGGGCCGATATTCAACATTCTTAAAGAAAAGAATTTTCAACCCAGAATCTCATATCCAGCCAAATTATGCTTCATAAATGAAGGAGAAATAAAATCCTTTACAGACAAGCAAATGCTGAGAGATTTTGTCACCACCAGGCCTACCTTACAAGAGCTCCTGAAGAAAGCACTAAACATGGAAAGGAACAACCGGTACCAGCCACTGCAAAAACATGCCAAATTGTAAAGACCATCAACGCTATGAGGAAACTGTGGAATTAACAGGCAAAATAACCAGCTAACATAATGATAGGGTCAAATTCAAAGATAACAATATTAACCTTAAATGTAAATAGGCTAAATGTCCCTATTAAAAGACACAGACTGGAAAATTGGATAAAGAGCCAAGACCCATCAGTGTGCTGTATTCAGGAGACACATCTCACATGCAGAGACACACATAGGCTCAAAATAAAGGGATGGAGGAAGATCTACCAAGCAAATGGAAAACAAAAAAAAGCACGGATTGCAATCCTAGTCTCTGATAAAACAGATTTTAAACCAACAAGATCAAAAGAGACAAAGAAGGCCACTATATAATGGTAAACGGATCAATTCAACAAGAAGAGCTAACTATCCTAAATATATAGGCACCCAATACAGGAGTAACCAGAATCATAAAGCAAGTCCTTAGAGACCGACAAAGAGACATAGACTCCCATACAATAATAATGATAGACTTTAACACCCCACTGCCAATATTAGACAGATCAATAAGAGAGAAAGTTAACAAGGATATCCAGGACTTGAACTCAGCTCTGGACCAAGCGGACATAATAGACATCTACAGAACTGCATACCCCAAATCTTCTCAGCACCACATCCCACTTATTCTAAAATTGACCACATAGTTAGAAGTAAAACACTCCTCAGCAAATGTAAAAGAGCAGAAATCATAACAAACCGTCTCTAAAACCACAGTGCAATCAAATTAGAACTCAGGATTAAGAAATTCACTCAAAACTGCTCAACTACGTGGAAACTGAACAACCTGCTCCTGAGTGACTACTGGGTAAATAACAAAATGAAGGCAGAAATAAAGATGTTCTTTGAAACCAATGAGAACAAAGACACATTGTACCAGAATCTCTGGGATACATTTAAAGCAGCGTGTAGAGGGAAACTTATAGCACTAAATGCCCACAAGAGAAAGCAGGAAAGATCTAAAATTGACACGCTAACATCACAATTAAAAGAACTAGAGAAACAAGAGCAAACAAATTCAAAAGCTAGCAGAAGACAAGAAATAATTAAGATCAGAGCAGAATTGAAGGAGATAGAGACACAAAAAATCCTTCACAAAATCAATGAATCCAGGAGCTGGTTTTTTGAAAAGATCAACAAAATTGATATACCACTAGCAAGACTAATAAAGAAGAAAAGAGAGAAGAATCAAACAGATGCAATAAAAAATGATAAAGGGGATATCACCACCAATCCCACAGAAATACAAACTACCATCAGAGAATACTATAAACACCTCTACGCAAATGAAGTAGAAAATCTAGAAGAAATGGGTAAATTCCTGGACACATACACCTTCCCAAGACTAAACCAGGAAGAAGTTGAATCTCTGAATAGACCAATAACAGGTTCTGAAATTGAGGCAATAATAAATAGCCTACCAACTAAAAAAAGTCCAGGACAAGACAAATTCACAGCCGAGTTCTACCAGAGGTACAAAGAGGAACTGGTACCATTCCTTCTGAAACTTTTCCAATCAATAGAAAAAGAGGGAATCCTCCCTAACTCATTTTATGAGGCCAGCATCATCTTGATACCAAAGCCTGGCAGAGACACAACAACAAAAGAGAATTTTATGCCAATATCCCTGATGAACATTGATGTGAAAATCCTCAGTAAAATACTAGCAAACTGAATCCAGCAGCACATCAAGAAGCTTATCCACCACGATCAGATTGGCTTCATCCCTGGGAGGCCAGGTTGGTTCAACATACACAAATCAATAAATGTAATCCATCACATAAACAGAACCAACAACAAAAAGGACATGATTATCTCAGTAGATGCAGAAAAGGCCTTTGACAAAATTCAACAGCCCTTCATGCTAAAAACTCTCAATAAACTAGGTATTGATGGAATGTATCTCAAAATAATAAGAGCTATTTATGACAAACCCACAGCCAATATCATACTGAACGGGCAAAAACTGGAAGCATTCCCTTTGAAAACCGGCGAAAGACAGGGATGCCCTCTCTCACCACTCCTATTCAAAATAGTGTTGGAAGTTCTGGCCAGAGCAATCAGGCAAGAGAATGACATAAATCAATTAGAAAAAGAGGAAGTCAAATTGTCTCTGTTTGCAGATGATATGATTGTATATTTAGAAAACCCAATCATTTTAGCCCAAAATCTCCTTAAGCTGATAAGCAACTTCAGCAAAATCTCAGGATACAAAATCAATCTGCAAAAATCACAAGCATTCCTATACACCAATAATAGACAAACAGAAAGTCAAAACATGAGTGAACTCCCATTCACAATTACTACAAAGAGAATAAAATACCTAGGAATCCAATTTACAAGGGATGTGAAGGACCTCTTTAACCAGAACTACAAACCACTGCTCAATGAAATAAAAGAGGACACAAACAAATGGAAGAACATTCCATGCTCATGGATAAGAAGAATCAATATCGTGAAAATGGCCACACCACCCAAGGTAATTTATAGATTCAATGCTATCCCCATCAAGTTGCCACTGACTTTCTTCACAGAATTGGAAAAACTACTTTACAATTCATATGGAACCAAAAAAGAGCCTGTGGAGCCAAGACAATCCTAAGCAAAAAGAACAAACCAGGAGGCATCATGCTATCTGACTTCAAATTATTCTACAAGGCTACAGTAAACAAAACAGCATGATTCTGGTACCAAAACAGATATATAGACCAATGGAACAGAACAGAGGCCTCAGATATAACAACACACATCTACAACCATCTGATCTTCAACAAACCTGACAAAAACAAGCAATGGGGAAAGGATTCCCTATTTAATAAATGGTGCTGGGAAAACTGGCTAGCCATATGTAGAAAGCTGAAACTGGATCCCTTCCTCACACCATATACAAAAATTAACTCAAGATGGCTTAATGACTTTAATGTAAGACCTAACACCATAAAAATCCTAGAAGAAAACCTAGGCAATACCATTCAGGACATAGGCATGGGCAAAGACTTCATGACTAAAACACCAAAAGCAATGGCAACAAAAGCCAGAATAGACAAATGGGATCTAATTAAACTAAAGAGATTCCACACAGCAAAAGAAAAGGCAACCTACAGAATGCGAGAAAATTTTTGCAATCTACCCATCTGACAAAGGGTTAATATCCAAAATCTACAAAGAACTTAAACAAATTTACAAGAGAAAAACAAATAATCCCATCAAAAAGTGGGCAAAGGTTATGAACAGACACTTCTCAAAAGAAGACATCTATCTAGCCAACAGACACATGAAAAAATGCTCATCCTCACTGGTCATCAGAGAAATGCAAATCAAAACCACAGTGAGATACCATCTCAAGCCAGTTAGAATGGCGATCATTAAAAAGTCAGGAAACAACAGATGCTGGAGAGGACGTGGAGAAATAGGAATGCTTTTACACTGTTTGTGGGAGCATAAATTAGTTCAACCATTGTGGAAGACAGTGTGGCGATTCCTCAAGGATCTAGAACTAGAAATACCATTTGACCCAGCCATCCCATTACTGGGTATATACCTAAAGGATCATAAATCATGTTACTATGAAGACACATGCACACGTATGTTTATTGTGGCACTATTCACAATAGCAAAGACTTGGAACCAACCCAAATGTCCACCAGTGATAGACTGGATTAAGAAAATGTGGCACATATACACCATGGAATACTATGCAGCCATTAAAAGGATGAGCTCATGTCCTTTGCAGGGACATGGATGAAGCAGGAAACCATCATTCTCAGCAAACTGTCACAAGGACAGAAAACCAAACACCACATGTTCTCACTCATAAGTGAACAATGAGAACACATGGACACAGGGTGGGGAACATCACATGCAAGGGCCTCTTGCGGGGTGGGGAGCTGGGGGAGGGATAGCATTAGGAGAAATACCTAATGTAAATGACGAGTTGATGGGTGCAGCAAACCAACATGGCACATGTATACCTATGTAACAAACCTGCACATTGTGCACATGTACCCTAGCACTTAAAGTATAATAATAAAAAAAAGACTTACAACCAACAGAGAGTTTGAAATATATTTAAATTAAAAGTATTATTAAAAAATTCTAAAAAAAAAAAAGAAAAACTTCACTGGCATAGTAAAATAGCACATGGGAAAAAATCCTCTCAATTTGCTAAGTCAATATTCTTATAACTGATGTTGCTTATATGTCATTGTTGTTAGATCTGAGAGTGGAAGGAAATAATTTGTAGTTATTGTTATAATGAAAAAAATGCAATTATCTAAAGATTCCTATCATTTTCTCACTACTCCTTAAGCACATTTATTCATTATAATGTAGAGGAAGGTTGCCTTACTTGTGGTCTCACCATTCATCTCTTTAAGTTCGTTGTTGATTCCAACATCTATGGAACTCATTATTTTGTCAATCTGTAAGAAACAAAAACCATTTAAATGGATTGTTACATTCACTTTTAACATTGTATTTTAAAATAAGTTTCAAATGAAGGGAGCAAATATTTTTGATGTTATTACCACAGTGTTCCACAGTTAAGAGATGCATAGCGAAATATTTAAAGGAAAGCAAACATCTTTCGGATTGTTTTATTAAAATGTAAAGTATGTTCCCCTTTCTTAAACTTTCAAAATTAGTTTGCCTTTTCTTTGTGTTTCTTGAAATAAACTTTGTACTTGGATAGATTGGTCATTTAGGAACTGTGTATTCTTCAAACTCAGAAGGACTGTAGATAAATTCATGTGACAAAGTCTCTGCTCTCTGGCACCCTTCTTCTTCTGCCTAAGAACATGCATCCCATCTAACTGGTAAAGGAGCAGGTTTCAGGGTGTGGAGAGCACGGCCACAGGAGCAAAGTTTTCTGTTTTTTGTTTCGACAGAATCTCACTGTGTTGCCCAGGCTACAGTGCTGTGGCACCATCTCAGCTCACTGCAACCTCCGCCGCCCAGGTCCAAATGAGTCTCGTGCCTCAGCCTCCCAAGTAGCTGGGATTACAGGCATATGCCACCACACCTGGCTAATTTTTGTGTTTTTAGTAGAGATGTGATTTTGCCATGTTGGCCAGGATGTTTCTGAACTCCTGGCCTCAAGTGATCTACCTGCCTCGGCGTCCCAAAGTGCTAGGATTACAGGCATGAGCCACCATTCCCGGCCTGGAGCAAGTTCTAACCAAATGGTTTGACCAACCACAAGCTGATTACTGACATCCAATCACCAGCATCTAGTCATGAAAACAACTTAATTATAAGATCTAAGTTAAATGTTAATTAATCCTGCCTCTACAAAAGGATCTCAGATGTTATTCACTAAATTAATAAATATAAGAAATGGCTATACTTGAAAAACTAACCATCTACTAGTATGGAATTTAAAGGAAGATATGATGGTCTAAGCTATAGCAATTTATGGCTTAATGACTCTCTTGATGTTAGCAACCTGAATAAGATAGCAGGTTTCAGAAAGGACAATGGGCATTACTTAAATGTCCCAGTTTGTTCACCCTGAAACAGATGCAGAGATATTAAGTGATTTTCCCAAACAGCTCAGTTCAGAATATCACTATCAGACCATATCCATTTCTAGTTCTCCAAATACTATAATGATCTATTGTGCTTCTAAACCTAATCCAACTGGTACAGTCTTTTCAGAGACAATATGTGATGTGTTAGAATGAAATACCAAGAGAGACTGTATGAAATTAAACACTTTAAGTAGAACTGAAATTGGTGATATTTGAACCTCAAACATTTTTTTCTTTATTTCCCTGATAGCTGCAAAAGGGAAATATCAAATGATGTGTGTTTATTGTATGGTGGCTGGAGAAGAGCTAGGAAACTTTATTTACTATGAAGATTCTAAGGAGCTCTTCTGAAAATATAAGATACTTTAAAGAAGGGAGACAAACTAACAAAGAGTTTGGCAAGTAGCAAAACAACACAGAGCAAAATACTGAGCTTTTTCTCGATTTGTCAGCTGCAGTGCTTGGTAGGACGAGATGTGAATATTCTCTTGTACCTCATAGCTAGTTATTACTTCTGCTTGATATCAATTTCTATGGAAACAATAGATTAACCCACATGTGTGGAACAGTGTTTGTTTTTATACTTGCTGTGAAATTACCATGCATTACCCACAGAACCATTTCATTCCAGTTGGAGCCGTATGCTTTTTTTTTTCTTGCTTTTGAAAGAGCTAAAAAGCTGAAAATCCTTCCCCCAAACCTCCCTCAACTGCAAAGCCTTATAGGATGAACAGCAAGAAGAACAAAGCTTACTTCTTCCCATTCCGATGTGAAGGATGGTGTTCTTTCAGAATTCCCTTTAGAACTGTGTTCAGCAGTGGAAGATTCACTCCAGTTAACTCTTGATGTTTTCTCATTGGAAGGATAGGCAATGAGATCAGAATCAGATTTAGAGACACTTTTTGACAAATGCATGTCGATCAAGGCTTTAGGCAATGACCTTATTCTCCCCAGAGTACAGGCTCTCTCCACAAATCCCCCTGCGTTCATAACCCACTGGTCCCCATTCCGAGATCCACTCCTGGTTGATCTTGTGCCAACAATGGTATGGTTTTCGAGTTGGTTGCTTTTTTTGTGAAAAATTGTTCTACTGACCACTTTGGGTTTAATTTTCTTTACCAAAGGTTCTGAGTTATTTTCTATTGGAGACTGCTTGAAAGGCAAAGGACTGTTTGCCAAACTGACTTCATCTTGTCCTTTTTCACATTGTTCTCTTTTCCCATAGAGATGAAATGGATTTTCAGGGGACTCACAGGCTGGAGAGGATCCATGGAGCAGGCCTGCAAATTGCCCAGGATCATATTCTTTTGGGGGATCATTGTCATCCTGTCGGGAGAGGTCATCTGCAAAAGGAAGGAAGGGATATCAGGGTTTATAAAGGTTCTGAAAGCCACGATATAATAGCAGTGCCCTTATGAACATGTGGGCTATCCAAACATTTCATTTACTGCTACATAGCAATACCTTCACTTTATGAAATACCCCTGACCCCACAGTGCCATGTATAGAATGAATGTATGAGTGTGTGTGCGTGTGTATGCATGTGTGAATCATTCTTTCTGATATACCTTAGAGTTCATTTCAAAAGTATGAATTGTGTATTAATTGAATGACTTCATTCACTTCTCCCTTGAACCCAGGGTGTATGTTTTATAGCCAATGAACAAAATTGGGTTTTCTTAAAGTAGAACACACACATCTAAACTCTCACAGTAAATGAATCATCGTGAAGTAGAACACTAGGCAGGTAAGTCAAGGTCATATATAATGACAACCCTCTGCCCTCCTCCCAGCAAATAAATTCAAAAACCAAATTTTGAAAAAAGGTATTATTAAAAGTAATTGAAGTTTAATAATCCTGATATTACCTTAAATATAAATTTAAAATAATTCTATGCAGATTACATAATTTAGACAAAAAAAATTTGTTCAGACTTAACAAAGGCAAACAACGCAGTATCAGAAAAAGAGAGACTCCAATATAAGAAACTAATGTTTAGCTATGAACACAAAGGTAGCTTTTTCTTTCTTCTCTGAAACGGCATTAGCTATTTTCTAATTTCTTCAGATCTTTGAAGATGTAATGCAGAAAAGAAACCAATGATGAATGATAATTTTTATTCCTTTGGATTTTTTTCTAAGATAAAACACACATTTTCTCTGAGATTTAAAATACACCATGCTTTTTGCGACTTAATTTGTCTTTCAAAGACATACTGTGTAAAAACCTGGCCAAAGAATTTAGCAAAGAAAGGAAGTGTCCTTTTTTTCAGTGTTCATTTTAATTCATATCAATAGCTAAATATTGCCAAGATGAAAATTTAAATTACCTGATAAGCCCATAACTCACTGTTGCAAAGAACTAAAGTATAGTAAATGTGGTACATAATGACAACAAATCCAAAGTTGATGTGCTGATTCGTACTTTCAGTAAGTTAATTATTACCATAAACCCCAAACACTAACATTTTTATAAATTAACAAGTAACATTTAATGGGTAAGTGTTATTTACTAGGCACTGAATGAGGAATTATATCATCTCATTTGACACCCATAACAATCCTATGAAGTGATTATTAATAATAATTATGATTTTGTGATGGAACGAGATGGCCAAAATATCGAATTCTCACATTTTTAAGAAATTGGCAACCATAATAAATCTTATTAGACATTGGCTCAGAAGATGCTACAGGCACATCTGCTCTTTATAGTGAAGATTGGCCCCAGGTGTCTATACTGCTCTCCGCCTGGGAACTGGTGAAAGCAGGTATATTCCTAGCTATGTATCTCTAGACTTCACCCTGGTTCCTGCTTGATTTTTCCAAAGAGAAGATGTTTGCCTGCCCAGCTATCATACCAGCATCCTGAGATTGAAGAAAGAAGAGTGACAGGAAGAGAGATCCAAGACACATGAATCTACAAATGCAACAATCTGCATCCATCTACTACTATTATACTCACTGTCTTCTCACAAAAACAAAACAGAACGATAAAACCTCATCACTTTCTAAAATAGCCACACTGTCTTGATAACTCTCTATTTTATTTTCCTTTCACAACAGAGACCATTCTAGGGGTAGAATAGTGAGTGGATAGTGGGATAAGGCAGCTTTCAATTCTCTCCAAAGACTAGAGTTTATCACTGAGTATGTGCATTTTTAAGAAGTCAAAACTAACACTTAGACAACTTAAGACACAGACATTTCCCCACCTAGTAAGCAATTAAGCTGAGATTCAAATTAAGGTCTATCAGATTCTGACATCCATTGGCCTTGCAAATATATTGCTATTAAAGATAAGCTTTAAAAAAATCTAGGGTTGGTTTATCCATAGGACAAGCAAGTAGGCTCTTTGTAAAGAGACATGCTTCTCCTGTTCATGACTGTATCTGGAATTTGGGAAAAGTGGACTAAAAGCATCAGAGCTTTTTCTTTGTTTTGTTTTGTTTTCTTCTTGGAGATAAGCTAATACTAAGAAGAAAATAAGACCTGGCATCTTGTTCCAATGCATTTTTTTTCTTAGGCTACTTGGATCTCACAGAGTGCTTTACAACATAAGCAGGTTGGTATGGGTGACAATAATGGGGATTAAGGTGGTAGGAAGGAGGAATTCTGAAATAAGGAAGTTTTAGAATTTCATTTTGAAAGTTGCTGAAGAAGGATAAAAGGTCTGAATTTGAAAGGAAAATTGAAAAGAGCTTGCCTATTGTGGGAAAAAGATTCTGTAAATCTCAGCCAAAAGAGTTTCCGACGATGTTCATTATCTAGAAAAATGAGAATTTTAGGGGCGTAATATTATTTAAAGTTTTCTGCAAATATTATTATTAGGTTACCATCCCCTCTGTAGTTTGACTACAATGACTATAATTACCACCCCACAATGCTTTACACTGTCCAAGTCCTCCAATCACAAGCAGTCACTTCTCAAAGTAAAAGATAATTTCATTGTTAGCTTATAAAGCTTAGTTTTTTGAATAGCAGTTCTTAGCATTGTGATGGTAACATTTCTGCCAAGAGTGGTGAAAAGACAAATATTACTTGCTTTTTCCAGTGGCCAAATCCTAAAGATTATTCAAGTCAAAGAAAAGGAGAAGTTGATATGAAGCCTCCTGGAAAGCCTGTGTGGTGGATTGATTGCAGTTATGGCCCCAGTCTGCTCACAGCTCCCTGCAGACACAGCCCTCCCCGTATCTAGTCCTCTCACGCTGACTCCCTCACAGCGTGGCCATGTGCCTTGTACCGCTCAATCAGACTGCAGCAAATGTGATATAAGCAGAGACCTCTGAAAAGCATGTGTGCATTAGACTTGTTCCCTTGTTGCTCTTGGAACCCTGACACCATGTGAACAAGCCAGGCTGGCCTGCTGGATGATGAGGTGACACATTACCCAGCTGTTTCAAAATGTAGGTTTTATTATATTTTTCAGGTATGTTGAAACCAACAGATCAGGAGACAATTGCCATTGAAAGATAGACGCTCTACTCATTGATCCGAGAGGCATGCCACATTATAGGGGCCACACAGGGAACTACCAGGGTCCATCAGGAGGAGGCTGACAAAGTGAGGGGAGATTGTGGGCAAGAGCCTTTACTATGGTTTCCATGAAAAGAAACACACAAAGCAGGTATAAGCAGGTTTAGGAATGGCTAGTTTGAATAGTTTCAGCAGACTCTGGGGCATAAGAACTGTACCTAGTTGTCTGGTCATTAGAGCAGGTGAATGAATAGTGGCCTAGAGAGTGAGAGCCAGATGAAGGAGGTAATTGGGACTATGGGCTCTACGATTGTTAGTTTGCATAAGAAAAGCATGCTCTCTGGTGAGCTGTTTACTATCTCTAGGAATTAGCTAGCCCCAGGAGGGGCCGTCCCTCCACAGCAAGAGCTCAAGAGACCAAAGCATAAAAATAAAAATACACAAATAAAATAGAAAATAAAAAGACATGGTTAATACATCCGCCAGTCCTGTCACCCCAACCAAAAGCCAGCCAACTTCCACCTATGTGAGTGAGGGCATCTAGGACCTACCAAATTCAGGCCATTCTGCCAATACCACCGATGCATCAGCAAGCACAGCTAAGAGGAGCTGAGGTTTTCCCAGGCCAGAAGAAGACACCCACCAGGATCATGAGCAATATTAATGGCCATTAAGTTTGGGAGGGTTTGATATATGAAAATATAAACTATATCCCAAGTTTTAAAGAATTAATATATTCTTCAAAATAAATTCTGGCAATGTTTATATTTCCACATCTGGAAAATGATGATAGTAATAGAACATACCTAAAAGTGCTGTGAAGATTGAATGAAATCATAGAATAATAAATGTGTTAGTCCATTTGGGCTGATATAACAAAATTTCATAAACCAGGTAGCTTACAAACAACAGATATTTATTTCTCACAGGCCTAGAGGCTGAGTAGTCCAAGATCAAGACACCTGCAGATTTGGTGTCAGGAGAGGGTTAATTTTCTGGTTCATAGAGGGCACCATCTTGCCTGGGTCCTCACATGGTGGAGGGAGCAAAGGAGCTCTCTGGAGTCTCTCTTATAAGGTCTCTGTCCTCATGACTTAATCACCTACCAAAAGGCCCACCTCCTATTACCATCACTTTGGGGGCTGGGATTTCAACATATGAATTTTGGTAGAACACAAATATTTGGACCATGGCAAGAAGTAAAACAGTTAGAACAATATATGCTGCATAGAACACTAAGAATATGTTTCTACTATTATAACAATAATTTTTAATCTATAGGGTTTCATTTTTATAAAGAAATACAGTAATAACTGTATTAGACACTCAATAAAGATTATTTTGACATAATAATCATGTGGGATTTACTCCTTTGTTTCTGTTTGTATATTTTAAAAAGTATACTTTGGAAAGAATTTTTTGTGTTTTCTTACCCTTTCTTCAGACAAAACGGAGGAAAATATACAGATTAAACTGTTGTCATAACTTGTCTCATTTAATTTTACACTTCTCTTTTGATAAGTGGATATTTCATGCCAAGGTACAGAACTAAATATGTGTGAATTCCAATCTGATAGTTATTCAAGGCATCATTAGCATTTCAAAGAAATGTCAGAGTAAATGTCCAATAGGAAGCAGTTCAATCTCTTTTTATCCACCTTTGCTATGATTTTTATCACCTATATATCACCTGATTAACAATAAAATCCAAAATTTCATGCTATGGAAAAATTATAGAAAACAAGTTACTTTTTTCTATTATAGAGTATAACTTTTGTCTATTGGGTCATTGCATCTGATTTAGAAAATAAAAATTTTTCCTATTTTTAAGGATACCGGGGCTGATGTTGATATTAGTAGAAACTGTGAATTTATTTCACAAATATGTATAAAACGTTTCCTGTATATCAGGTGGCAAAGTTTCAGCAGTGTCAAAGGCAATGTCCTGCCTTCATGGTGCCTACATTCCAGCAGAAAAGATGACTACAGGCAAATCAAGAAATGCTATAATTTCTGATGATGGTATGTGCTGTGAAAAAAATAAAGCAAAGTAATGAGATAGAAACGAAAGGAAGATGCTATAAGGCAATTAGGAAATGTCTTTCTCAGGAGCTGACATTGAGCAGACATAGAAATGACTGTGAAAGTGTAAATCATTCAATGTTTTGGGGGAGGATTATTTCAAGGCATAGGAAAGAAGATATGAAAAGTCCCTAAGGCTGGTAAGAACAGTAAGAAGGCCAGTGTGGCTATAATAGAGTGGTAGGGGATTAGTAGAATGGCTGACGATTGAATCAGAGATGCAGGTAGGAATAGGGTTGGGGTGATATGACTTATACTTTTAGAAGATAATTGGTATTTCTGAACATGACAACAGCATAGTGTTCTTTTTAAATTATTCACCTCAATTCTCATAAAAACAAGACACGGGGATAGTAAAAGAATAAAATGAGCACATGATAGCAAAATAAAGGAAAAACACTACAGGTGATATCTCCAGTAAAGCTAAGTATTAAGAAGTCCCCATGGCCCCGAAACACAGAGGGGTGTAGCCAAATCACATGACAGCAGTAGGATCCGGAACTGAATCAGCAGTGATGCAGCTATAGTGGTGAAGAGAAAGGGAAATTCAATGGCACCTACAAGCCATGGAACCCAGAAATTGCCATCAGATACTGATTTCCCAAAGGAGAGGGTCTTGTGCTAAGCAGGAGTGTGCAGTAAAATTTGAGAACAACTAGCAGAACTTGTACACATCTTGTAACAAGACCACAGGAAGTAGCTTACTCCCTTGAGAATATCAGAAATCTCCAATAAATGCATACTTGTAGTAGGCTACAGATCCACTCTGAAGAAAAACTTCTGGGAGAAGAATACAAATTGCACAGGGTGAAAACACCAAAGATGTGAGGGAGAAAAACATTTCATATAATGGGGCAGTAGGGGCCAGGTGCAGTGGCTCACACCTGTAACCCCAACAGTTTGGGAGGCCAAGGCGAGAGGATCACTTAAGCCCAGGAGTTTGAGACCAGCCTGGGCAACATAGCAAGACCTCATCTGTACAAAAAGTGTTTAAAAGAAATTTAAGCATGATAATGAGTGCCTGTGAGTTCCAGCTACTCAGGAGACTGAGATGGGAGGATTGCTTGAGCCCAGGAGTTCAAGTCTGCGGTGAGCTTTGATCATGCCACTGCACTTAGTCTGGGCAACAGAGTGAGACCTTCTCTAGAAAAAAAAAAAAGGCAGTGGGGGTGGCATCAGGCAGATGTCCAGTAGAGGGAGACTTTGAATGTAATAGAATAGCAAAGCACAGTGTTCAGATGTGAGAGCACCACTTTGGAAGGCAGGCGCATGGAACTCAAGAACACTGAGGTAGTAGCAGGAAGCCTTCCTGAATCAAGCAGAGAAAAACCTGTATTTCTTAATACTTCATCGTAACTGCAAAGGAGAAGGCCCTTGAGATGTGAAGGGCTCATGGCTACTGTGGCTCATCCCTGCTCCCATACAGGAATCTCTTCCTAATCCATGACATCCCTTCTCATTAAACGTGGGAAACAAAAAAGGATTTAGATAGAGGGCAATTTTAGGAATAAAATAAATAATGACAGTAATGGATTATAACCCACTGAATAAAACAGAAAGACACGAGCCCATAAATAAACAAATGATTTAAAAGTTTGACTAGGAATGGGAATCCTAAATAATTTCAAATTGCCTCCCCACAAAATACTTATTAATTAGAAAGAGGAAAAAGAGACACGCTACAGTGAAGAAATCTGGGAGGCCCTATCTTAATCAAATGATCAAAGTGAACAATATCAGTAATGGAACAAATCAAAATCATATCCAGTGTGGTAAAGATGCAATGAGAAAAATGCAGAATCACTTTTGGATTTTCCTGCCAAAGATGTACAACCTAAATCTAATTATATAGGAATATCAGAAATATCAGAGAAATCCAATTTGTGGGCCATTCTACAAAATAATTGGCCTGTAATCTTCAGAAGTGTCAAGGTCATGAAAGTCAAAGAAAGTCAAATGAACCCTTCCAGGCTGAAGAAAACTAAGGAGACATTACAACTAAATGCAACGTGTGATCCTGAACTAGATCCTTTGATCATAAACAATATTATTGGGTAAACCAGCACATCTTGAAGGAGGTCTGAGGAATAGATGCTAGTGATGTATTAACTTTCTGATTTGGTTGCACGGTGGTTCTGTGGTTGTGTAAGAATGTACTTGCCTGTAGAACATATACACTAAATTAGTAGTTATCAAAGTGTAGTCCAGGGATGCTTGGGGTCTCCAAGATTATTTCAGAAGTTTCATGAAGTCAAAACAATTTTCAGACTAACACTAAGACATTATTTGCCCATTTCACTTTCATTATCTCATGAGTGTACAGTAGAGTTGTTCAGAGGCTACATGATGTGTCTTTTCACAGTGGAAATATGTGATGCCTCTTTCTATCTCAGCTGTAGGAACTGGCACGCTATTACTTCTTGACAGAAGAAAGTCATATGTCTAAACCTAAAGTAAATGGAGTGAGGATGTAAATGGCCACCTATGCTACTGCACTGCAATGTACCATGGCAGAAGAGAGAGTAAAGAACTGAGAACAGTAATCTCATCTTAAAAATAATGTTTGCTCTAAGTTTTGGGTAGATGCCCTTTATTAAGTTAAATGTCTTATCTTCTAAGGTTGCTGAGAATTTTAATTGTGACTAGATATTGAGTTTATAAAGAATGTTTTTCTGCATCTGTTCAGTTATGTAATTTTTCTCCTTTACTCTGTTAGTGTGAATGACATTTGTACATTCTCTAATGTTAAACATTAGATATTAATGGGATACCAACAGGATAAACTCAGTGTGGTCATAATGAACTTTCTTTTTGGCATCCTGCTAGATTTGGTTTGTTAGTACTTTGGGATCTTTCCATCTATGTTCATGAAAGAAATAGGCCTTTGGTTTTACCTTTTTTATTCTGTCTAGTTTTTACATGATTACTCACCTCACAGAAATAGTTGGGGAAAATTTCCATTTCCCTAGAAGAGTTTATATAAGATTGGAACGATATGTTTCTTGAAAGCCTTTATATTTACTTTACCTTTAAAATCATCTAGACTCAACATATTCTTTGTGGAAAGATTTCAAATTATTCATTAAATTTATTTAGTATAGAACTATCTGGAGTCTCTATACCTTTTTGAAGTTTTTTAAAGTTTTAATTATCTAGAATTTGTCTAATTTTTCTCAGTATTAAAATTCACTGGTACAAAATTATTCATTCTTCTTTCTTAACTTTGAATGGTTTTTTGTATCTGTAGATTTACCCCCTTTTCTTTCCTAATAGGTTTATTTGTGCCTTTTTATCTTGATCATTTTGACTGGAAAGTGCATCCATTTTTTTAGTGTCACCAATGATTCCATTTCTGGCTTTGTGAATTAATATTACATATTTGTTTTCTATTTCATTCATTTCTGTCCTTTACTATTTTCTTTCTATGCCTTTTCTGGATTTATTCTATTATTTCTTATAAAATTTCTTAAGCTGGCATTTACCTCATTAGTCTTCAGCGTTTCTTCTTTTCTAATATATGCATTTAAAATTTCTAAGTTCCACTTTATGCTGCATTCATCACATTTGATATTTAGCATTTATATTTTTGTTTAACTTTAAAGGTTTTTAAGTTAGTATTATGGCATCTCCTTTAACTCATTTCTCATGACTTATTTAGAAACGTGTATTTAAATTCATAAATATATGGGGATATATATGGGAATCTTAATTTAACTTAATTGAATTATTTTTAGAAAATATAGTGTGTATGAATATGAGTCTTTGACATGTTGAAACTTGCTTATAGTCAAGATCACTTTTTGTGACTGTTTCATGAGAATTACATGTATTCTCCAATTGTTGAATACAAAGCTCTTTGCATTATGTCAGATTAAATTTATTAATGGAACTCTTAAACTCTTCCATTGAGTGAGGTGTGTTGAAACCTAATTTTAGCAGACTTATGTTTTTTCCTATGAAATATATGTATATTATATCTGGCCAACATGGTGAAACCCTGTCTATACTAAAAATACAAAAATCAACTGGCTGTGGTGGTGCGTGCCTATAATCCTAGCTACTCGAGAGGTTGAAGCAGGAGAATCGCTTGAACCAGGGAGTTGGAGGTTGCAGTGTGCCGAGTTCGTGTCACTGCACTCCAGCCTGGGTGACGGAGTGAAACTCCATCTCAAAAAAAAAAAAGAAAAAAAAAAGAAAAAAGTCTAAAGTTAAATAATACCTTATCCACTTCCTTCCTAAACAATTTAAAAACTTTAGAGCATTTTACATTCAATTACTTCTTCTATAATAAATATTGTTGTCAGTGTTTTAATTATTTTGTTAGCTTTACAAATCAGGTGTTATTATTTTATTCAGACCATTTTTAAATTTCAATTGGTTTACATGTTTGCCATTTTATTTACTCACAATTCGTTCCTCAGAATGGCCTGAGATCATTTTCCTTCTTAAAGTTATTCTTTAGAATTTCCTTTTATACAGGTCTCTGGTGGTCAATGCTCTAGTTTTCAACTGTGAATATCTTTCTATTTTACTCTCATTTATTTAAAATTCATAATTTTAGGTTGATAGTTATTTTCTCTCACAGTTTGAAGAAATTATTCCACTTTTTTGTGGCTTTCATCTTTCCTTGTTAATTCTGCTATAATGATACCTGTCTTTCTTGTGGGTGATCCATCCTTTCTCTCCACCTGGTTTGAAAATCTCTGTATTTTTCAATTTCACAATAATGTGTCTCACTATGGATTTCTGTTTATTTATCCTGCTTGGAATACAGTGTGCTTTCTGGACCTGTGAATCCATATTTTTATCAGTTTGGAAAAAAATCAGCCATTATCCATCAAAAAATGTCCTCTCCTACATTTTTTAAAAAAATTATTTCATCCCGGCCGGGTGCAGTGGCTCATGCCGTAATCCCAGCACTTTGGGAGGCTGAGACGGGTGGATCACGAGGTCAGGAGATCGAGACCATCCTGGCTAACACTGTGAAACCCGGTCTCTACTAAAAATACAAAAAATTAGCCTGGCATTGTGGCGGGCGCCTGTAGTCCCAGCTACTCCGGAGGCTGAGGCAGGAGAATGGCGTGAACCCGGGAGGCGGAGCTTGCAGTGAGCCGAGATGGTGCCACTGCACTCCAGCCGGGGCAACACAGCGAGACTCCGTCTCAAAAAAAAAAAAATTATTTCATCCCGAGTCTCTGATTCAAAGTTAATCTTCTGATTCCATACTTCATATCTCTTCATACCTTCCAAATTTTCTGCCTCTTTGCCCCTCTGTGATACATTTTGGGGAATTTTTTTCAAATGTATCCTTCAGTTCATCAATTTTCTCTTCTTCTGTGCATAATCTGCTATTTAGCCTATTCATTTAGGATTTTAAAAGTAATCTCAAGTATTAAATTTTTCATATCTGAAAATGCCATTTATTTTTCAAATTTTCCTACTATTATAGTCACCATTTTTTACTCATTTTAATGATAAGGCATATTATTTATTTAAATATTTTGTTTATATATAGTGGTTCTATTTCTTGTTTCCTATTTCCAGTAATAATATCTATAGTCATTGAGCGCTAAATATGTCTGTGTTATTTTTGTTGATATCTACTTATAGTGGTTTGCTTTTCAAGGTATTTAGAAATAATTTATTATTAACTTTATTACTTGATTTTAATCTATGGAAGCTTGTCAATCTCATCAGGGAAGGTTTTCTGCAGAGAGAAAACCTTGTGCTTCCCTGAGCTGTGTTGACTCAGCCTTCCAGCCTTCCAGCTGAGCCAGGGAACAGTGTCCCAAATAGCAACACTATTATTCCCATCTGCACTCAGAACAACAACAGCCCTCCTCTCTTCTATCAGATGTTTTTAGAGAGCAAGAGTGACTGGAGCAGGCAATGTCTCAAGAACATGTCTTATTCAGAATATATTTGTTCTGCTGCAGAAAGATCTCTCAGAGTACCTAGACTGACATAATACTTTGAAGCATAATATTTTTATTTAAAAATGTACATTTGTGACAATTTCACTTCAAAAAAACCACAGTTTATTAGGAATCAAAAGTTTTTAACGTGACTCTTTAAATGATTTGTACCCTACTACATAGGTAGGGTTAATAATAAATTGCCTTGCTCTGCATGTTTTTGTCTTGTAATGTATGATGTAATATATAATCAATAAATTATCCTGAGAATTGTATAAACGAAGAACAAGCTTATTTTAATTAATTATGGCCTCAAATAAAGCAAATCCTTTTAAAATAAGATCCCCCTAAAAAGTATATTTATAAAGAACACAAAAGAAACTAAGGGAGGTTTGGTATTTTGAAAGAATTCCAAGTAGTCTATGATCTTCATTTAAAAAAAAAAGCATGCAAAATAATCATAGAGTGTGTTTTGTACATAAATCCTGGATCAACTTGATTTGACTAAAGATAGCAAGGAGCTAAACTTTAATAATATATACTGTCAACTTGTCTCAACAAGCTTTTAAAGGAGTGCTGGGTTTTAGAAATATTAGGGAGAAATATTATCCACTTGTTTTTTTTTTTTTTTTTTACTTATAATGTAAACTTATGTGATGAGCTAGTACATTCATTTTTTTCCAAATATTGAGAAAATATTTTCCAGTTCACTTTCCAGGTCACCTTCACATTGAGATAGAAGTGTGAGTCAAACAAGTAACAATGAGCCACAGAGGAAACTATGTAGAACTGACATTCCCTTAATTCCCCAATGTAAAAAAATCAATTATAGTTTCCAAACATACAAGAAATTAATTTAAGCAAACTCCAATTTTCTGGAAAGGAATTTATTTCAAAAATTACAAAGACCAAGATTCCATACTAGGTAAGGGGAACCACCAATAGATATTGTGTGCCTTCTATGTCCAAGGTCATTCTATCTCATTTAATCCTCACAAAAGTCTCTGAAGTAGGTATTATGGCATTTGCACTGATGAAGAATTAGATAGCTAGTGAACAGAGGAGCCCGTATGAGATATAAATCTGGCTAATGCAAAGCCGGCTTTTTTCCGATACATCACGACGCTTTGTGTCGGATTACCCTAGAACCTCCTATGGCATCAGTACAATGCACCATCCACTGGAGTGTCCTATCCAAGTAGCACTGGAGCTTGAAAACCACCCAGTGGGCCTCTTTCCAGGTATCAGTAGTGATCTTTGGGTATTTATTCTGATTGCACAATTAGCCCAAAGATTGCTGGTATGTTTAGATGCTGAATGGTGTTAGATAGAGCATGTAATAAAATTCCCTCTTCTAAGCAACTTAAGACCGGCAGCTGCCTTTCTGAAAAGCCACCCAGGTAAGCTCTGTTGTTTCCTGGTCTATTAGCCCTACACTCTGCCAAACTCAGCATTTACTGCGGAAGCCAGAGAATGCTGACATTCTGACAGCTCTTGGACAGCAGACCATGCTGTTTGACTCTGATTTCAAACATTTATAATCTTTTCTCTTGTTCCCTTTGCTCAATACAGGAGAGAGGCTATCAGCCAATTTCCCCACCGTTTATAGCAAATCCCAAGGCTCCCTCATTTCCAGCTGCTAAGCTGCCTGGGCAGACTGTATTACTAAATTATTGTATCTTTTTGGTAGAGTGCCTGATCTGTCTTGGCATGCGCTTTGCATTGAAAGAAGCTCCTGTTGCAAGCAAAGGAAGCCAGCGACATTCACCCTTCCCACACGTCTTTCCTCTGTTACCCTCAACCACTAACTTCTTTGTTTCCCATGTATAAGCCAAGTTCACAGGGGCAGTTTCTCAGCTATCTCTGCCTCCCTAGGGAGTTAAGGATTTCAAAGAGAGTTCTGTGCTAGGAGTATTTCCCATAGCCTAGAGCCAGATGAATAAATGGCGTCTAGTGAATAACTACATCAGAACCAAGAGGTTTTGTTTCTCTCTTACCAAAATGTATTTCTTTGTAATACCACAGTCACTGTAACCATGTATTTTCCTCATCAGAAGAGACTGTATTGGGGGAAGAGAGGAAATAGCCTCTTTAACTCAAGTCGGTTGTTTTCAAGAGTGTTGGTCCTTTGGTTTAACTTATTTTAATAACTTCCCATTTATATACTATCCCAATGGATTATGAATGTGAAAAAAGAACTATTCTGAAGAAATAAAACAAAAAAAGATCTACGATCTTTAAATAAAAAAGAAAGTGATTTTGTAATATAAAAGGGACAGAAACTATTTTTAATTACTCTAAAATGAATAACCACTCCGATTCAATTTTCAAAAGTTATACCTTGAATTTGAATTCAAAGTCACCCAAATGTCCTCAGTAAAAGCTCTGAGAATGCAGTGCATTCAAATGTATCCTGTGAGTTTTCTATTCCTGTAAGCAATGAACAGCCTAGATTTTTCTCATACGTATCTCAAGAGATACTTCATTTCAAAAGAGCAGGAGAGTTATCAAAAGTGTAATACTATTAACAAGATACACCATAGAAAATATACAGAAACGTTAAAGATAAATTATATCTAGGGAGTATGTTTTAAATCAACTTTGCTGTTGCTATGGTAAGAGATATCCAATGTAAAACAAAAATCCTCTATAAGGCTTTGGTGCTATAGCCATGGCAACAATGATGTTCAACTCTGCGAGTGTTTCCATCTGATTCAGAGAGAAGAAAAAAATATGCTTTAAATGTATGTAAAATGGCTTAGAAAATCGATCATTTATGGTTATCTTTCACATGACCCTTCAACCAATTAAAGAAGACATTGTAAAGATAGCAGCCAGAGAGCCTAAACAAAAGGCTCATAGATTTGCTTGGGTTTTTCATGATCACAGAAGCTGGAAAGATCCACTTTAGCTGAGGTGTTGGTAAATGACATATTCATTTAGCAACTATCTCACAGAAATTTTCAGGTTGGGGCCTCATGTAATTTTCCATGCATAGGAAAAAACTAAATGCAATCAAATGACAATTTCTACCTCTTTAACACAGGAAGAGAAATATTAACCTAAAGTAAGAAAATATGGAAAGTGGTGTTCTAGCTCTGCAAAAGAAAAGTCTCTTAAATGCTAGTCTCTTAAATCTACTCCAAATAGGCTTTTATTCCACCTACCTCCACCGAATAGCCCTTAACAATATCAGCAAAATCTCTACCTTCCTGAAATGAACATTCATAACTCTCATCTTACTTGACCTACCAGCTATACAATTGATACAGATTATCACCTCTTGGATGAAACACTTTCATTAACTCCCAAGGTACCACACTCTTCTGGTTTTCATCCTACCTCCTAGGCTGTTCCTTCTCATTCTCTGCTCATTCCTTCTGTTTCCAAATGTGGAAGCATTCAAGTGCTCCAGGGCTTGGCATACTGGGACCTCTTTCCTGTTTACATTTTCTGTTTACATTAATTCCTTTGCTGGCCCCAGGGTTTAACATATTACTGAAACAACTGCAACACCCAAGTTTCTGTTTTCAACCTGACTTCTCCCCCACACTCCAGACTTGTATATCCTACTGTCTTAGTTATCCTTATGCCTCCTTTTCTCTCACACCCCACAGCCAATCACACAGCGAATCCTGGTGGCTCTACCTTTAAAATATAACTGCAACCTGCCTATGCCTCACTTGTCCTTTTCTCCCTGGATTATTGTAGCAGCCTCCTAACCATCTCCTAGCTTTCATTTTTGCACCTCACAGGCAATTCTCAACATAGAAGTCAGAGTTATCTTAGTAAAACTAAGGCAAATCATGTCACTCCTCTGCTCAAAACTCTTCAATGGCACCTTGATCCACTCTGAGTAAAAGCCAGGATCCTTACAATAACCTGTGAGGCCATACGTGATCTCAGACCTGTGGATACTCTGCCCCAATTCTCTTAAATAACATAAGCTCCTACTACACTCCTTTTCCCTTAACTGACATCCAGCTATATTGCCTCTTGCTGTTACTCCAATGCATTAGGCATTCTTCTGGGTCATGACCTTTGTACTTGTTTTTTCTGCCTGGGATTTTCTTCCCTTAGGAAGTAGCCCCTCCTCCAACACCTTCTTCAAATATCTATTCCTAACGAAACCTTACTTCATAATTTTTTCAATAAGGCCTCCATGGATCACACCATTTTAAATGGCAACCACTAATTCTTATTCCCTTCCCTGCTTTATAGTTTCTCCACGACACCTATAAATATAAAAAAATATATATTTTACTTACTTATGCTATCTTAGGAGGAGAGACATTTTTGTCCCTATCATTTCATTGCTATATCCAGAAATTAGAACAAAGGCTGGAACATAGTGGATAATCAATAAACATTCTTTGACTGATGGGGTGAAATAAATATATAGATATTTGCATGTGAAGAAAAATTCAAGAGTGATATCAACATAGCTAAATGTTAACAGTGATTAACAATAAGTGACTTTAAAATAAAATAACCTTTTATTCTGTTTATAAAATAATATCTGTTCATTCTAGTTATTAGTAAAAGTAAAGAGAGAAGAAAGACACTCATAATTCCAACACCTAACAAAAGTTACTATTAACATTTTTATATTTTTTCTTTTGTTTTTTATGGACATTATTTTCCCCCAATGAAAATAAGATCACTCTGTTTATGTAATTAAAAAAAATTTAAATCTCACCTAAAAAATTGAGACATGTTTATTTTATTTGTCTAAAAATTTATTGTCTAAAAAATTGAGACATGTTTATTTGTATCATATCAATCCTTGAAATATTCAAATAACTGATACATTTGATTTTGTTTCTCTCTTTTTATAAAGTACATTTGGTCTTTTATAGTGACTAGGGGAATGTGTGTGTGTGTGTGAGTTTTTGTTAGTCATTACTTTTATGTTACCGAAATCATCTTCGGACCTGTTTTCTCTGTTTTCATCAGTAAATTTTTGTTTCTCTCTTTATAAGTTAATAGCTAATATTACTGAGTGCTTATAGGTGTTAAGTACTTCAGATGCATTATCTGATTTCATTCCCACACAATGTTCCCTCACATAATACCCCATAATACTCTGGGGTATTATGGTATTCCCATTTCGTAGGTGAGGAGTTGAATGCTTAGATGTTAAGTAACCAATCAGGGTTACAGGGTTACTAAGTAGTGGAGAAGCACATGAACAAGGTACCCATGCTCCTTACTGTTAAATCATTTGCAGTTCTAAAATGAGGGAATTAGCAGACTTGTTATCTCTGTTCCCCTGACTCCCCACTCATGCCCACGCCCCGTTTTCCAATTTATATTAAAATAGTCTGGGTTGTAAAGTGCTGATACTATATTACTGTATATTTTATACCTTCTCTTTTCAATTTCTTTTAGATTTATAGTGTTACAACAATATTGAGAACAATTAGTTGAAAACATTTTATGTCTTACAAGCTTTATTTTACATTCTAGAATCCTTTATGCTACTATTTCCCTTGCCCATTCTTGAGAATTTATTTATCACTTGATCAACTGAAGTATATCTTTGAGCAATTACTTCAAAGAGATAGGTTGTTTTCTAAATTACTGATATGGTTTGGCTCTGTGTCCCTACCCAAATCTTATCTCGAATTGTAATCCCCACTTGATTGGATCATGGGGGTGGTTTCCCCCATGCTGTTCTCATGACAGTGAGTGAGTTCTCATGAGATATGACGGTTTTATAAGTGCTTGACAGTTCCTCCTACACACACACTCACTCTCTCTTGCCTGCCGCCATGAAAGACATGCTTGCTTCCCCTTCTGTTATGGTGATTAAGTTTCCTGAGGCCTCCCTAGTCACGTGAAACGTGAGTCAACTAAACCTCTTTTCTTTATAAGTTACCCAGTCTTGGGTAGTATCTTTATATCAGTGTGAGAATGGACTAATACAATTACATATCTGAAAATGACTTACTATGGTCTTGCACACCTTGGCTGGGCATACAATTCTTGAATCTCAAGTTCAAATCCATTGCCCTAAAAATTCTATATACAATTCCCCATTGTCTTCTGTAAGTAATCTGTTTTATTACCTTAATATCTATCTAGATTCTTATATGACTTTTTCCTTATCCTTGAAATTATAAAAATTTAAAATTCCCTTCTAAAATTATTTATTTCAGAAATTTTGCTAAATTCAGTAAATCTGTAATTTATTATTCTAGGCATTCTTTAGCTCATAAACAAACAATGAGAGTTTTCTTTTATTGATGCTTTACTTCACTGCTACACTTTTCGTTCTAAAATTCCTATCATATGCATATTGGATCTCATGGATCTTTCCCCTGTGTTTTATCTTTTCTCTTGTAATTTTTATTTATACATTTCTTCTGTCTATTAAATGTCTTAATATTCTACTTTACTGACTTGGGTTTCTCATGATCCAGTGTATTTTTTGCCTTCTTTACAGTTTTGAATTTGATATGAATATTATTCAACCACATGAAGCGTTTATGATCTTACAGTTTTAACCCTTCATGACTGCTTAGTCTGGTTTCATGCAGCGTTAGTCTACTGAATATCATTGAGATCCATTTGACGTTAGCATTTTGGAAAATGCTCTTTTCTTAAGAAAAATTTTACGTCAAAGGATGCCACTGTTTTCATTCCTCAAAACGAGCCTTCTCTTTTGAGGTATCATTTAATGTCTCCAGCTCTTTCTCTATTTGCTCACTGTTGCAAAGGGTGGTCTTAGCTTGTCTCTTTTGGGGACCTGGGATGAGTTCTGTCAGGGACTTAGGAAATTCTCCTTTTCACCTTTAGGATTCAAAAGAGAGAAGAAAGGAAAAGCTTAGGTTAACTGCCAGTTCTGCCATATTGCACAACTCTAGGGTCCTTCATTCACATAGTACAAATGTGCCTCCTGCAATTGTGGCTGGTGGTGGCCATGTTCACCGCAGTTTTACTTCATTGGCCTAGTGTAGGGCTGTTCAGTAGAATTTTCTATGATGAGGGAAATGTTCTATATCTGTGCTGGCCAATATGGTAACCACTAACCACACATGATTACTGTGCACTTGACATGTAGCTGGTCCAAATCAATAATTTAATTTTAAATTCATTTAATTTTATTAACTTAAATTTTACTTTAAATAGTCACATGTAGTAGTGGCTACTGTAAAGGACAGTACAGGTCTATAGCAGTGGTTCTCATAGTGTGGACCCCAGAACAGCAGCATTAGCATCTCCTGAACACTTATTAGAAATGAAAATTCTTAGGCCTTGCTCTAGAATATCTGGGGGTGGGCCCCAGAAACCTATACTTTTACAAACTGTCCACTTGATTCTCACTAGAAATGCATATTCTTAGGCCTCACTTCAGAATACCTGGGGATGGGCCCAGCAATCTATATTTTTACAAACTCTCCACTTGATTCTTACCATTAATGCACATTCTTAGGCCCTGCTCTAGAACATCTTGGGGTGGGCCCAGCAATCTCTGTTTTAGCAGATCCTCCATGTGATTCTGATGCACATTAAGAGATGAGAACCACTGCTCTACTGATCACGAGTTAGGAGAGGATCAGAACTAACAGCAGTCACAAAAGGGACTTTTTTCTCTATTCCAGTGTTTCTTTTCTATATTTGAGGTGAGCTGCTAGGAGTTAACTGGGGCAGTGTCCTCATTCTTCGCTTCTCACAGTTGTCCTCATTAAGAACCAACTGTGACAATGTTCCCCTCAGTGTAAGTGAAGAGTAAGCAAGTCATGATCCTTGCTTTCCAGTGGGACTGGCAGGATCCAATGGTACCTCCTCACTGCCCCCATGTATTTCTTTACTTCGTGCTTTAACCTTCTAAAGTCTTCTCCAGTTACTACCATGGAGAGTTCTTCACATACGGGGAATTATATATCTTCAGTCCAGTTCAGTCTTCAATCCACTTCACTTTGCCTTCTATCTTGCAAGAACTCTTGAAATAATCAGCATGTAGATGTCACCCATTATTAACTTCCCATACTAATACAGATATTTTTCTTCCTTACTTTTATATCTGTTGGTCATTTCCAAGGTAATACAGAAAGGAGTGAACTAGAAAAATGCTTTCAGTCTTCTGCTTTTCCAAGAAATCTTCCATCTTTCTCTTAATGCCTTACCTTATATGAAATATTAAAAGTTTTTCATATAATTCTATAGTGTTTTATATGTATCATTTCATCTAATTACCAAAACATTCCAGTGACATAGGTTTTATTACTGTCATTTTCCAGACAAGGAGACTGAGGCTTACATGGTTTAAGTGAGCTATATAAGAGGAATGGGTAGAGCATCTGCTTTGTAAGGGTCTCTGATATGCAGAAAATGATGGCTAACATTTATTGGATCTTTATTACGGACCAAGCATTGTGATAAGTGTTTTTTATCCATTATCTTATTTAAGGCTTATAAAAATTTCCATTTTACAGATAATGAGCAACACTAGAAAGGTTAAATAACTTGTCTAATTACACAACTGGTTAGTAAAACTGCCCATTTCCATGCCCTGGTTTGTCTGACTCTAGAGGTTGTGCTCTTACCGGCTATGCTGTATTGGTTTCTTGGCCTGGAAAGTAATCAAATGGCATGGGCAGAGTAAAGAGTATAACATTTCGGAGGGTGTCCTTACATCTCATCATTTATCACACAGTGGGTTATTTAATTTATTTTCCATACCACTACCAAGTCTACAGTCACGGGTTTAAGGGTTAATAGAAACCCATTAATCTCTGGTAATTTTAATATTTTGCTTATTTTTTCTTACTCTGAATGGAATCCCTAAAACCATATGAGTCCTAACTTTTATCTCCATTCATTCTAAATATTTACTGCACAACTACTGCATGCCAGACACTAAGCGAGGTGCTGTGTTCTTGATGTTTGCTAGGTAGCTGAGCAATAGTCCCTGTCAAAACGTTTGGTGAATTGCCTGGTTTACTGTTAAACTCTCCTCCCAGTCTGCCTTTGTTATGAATATGATTATGGATTCACTGAAAACTTCACTTGAACTTTAAGTATCATAAGAGTATTTGGAACAAATAGGCACCTTGATTGCAACTCCAAGGAGTTCTGTGGCTTCCTTGCTGCAAATTTAAAAGAGAGAACTCCATCTCCAAATCAGTGACATTCAGACATGTGCATCACTATAAAGGACAAGGGTCAACTCACCATCCAGACTAGTTTGACAGGAACAATTCAGAGATGAAAGAGCTGCTTTCAATTGCTCAAGCAATGAATTTTCCATACAATGCACCTTTCCAGAGTCATGATCAAAGGAATCCTTGCTGAAGCCTGACTCACAACACAGGGAAATAATTTTATGCCTAATTTTTTTTCTCTCCTGACTCTCTCTCTCTCTCTCTTGCTACAGATATGTCAGTACTAATTTAGTTCCTCTTATAAAATAGAATTAAAATATCTTACATTTTTGGAGCCTGTTATTGTTTATAAAATATATACATTTCCAAGGTGTAATTAAATATAATAGGATAATCTGTGAGGCAGGTACTATTTCCCCCAGTTTGCCAATAAGAAAATAAAGATTATTTGGCTGTACATTCATTCATTCATTCATTCATTTATTCAATCTTCCAACAAACATGTATCACACTGAGGCACTAGAGTGACAAAAATTAATCAAACAAGGTCCATTATCTTGAACAGCTTATAGTTATAAAACATACAACCAGACATATTATAACATGTGTTTTTAAAGAAGTTTTGTGAGCTTCAGAGGAAGACAAAATAAAATCTTTCCAGAAAAAGATGGAGCCTTGGAGGACAGGTAGGACTTAGATATGCAGAAATGAGTGAGGTGCATTCCAAGCACAGGAAGCATGCACAAGCAAAGATATGGAGCTCGGAAAGTACAGACGGCACAAGAAAACTGAGTTGTTTTGTATGTATGATTGCTGAAAGAAGACATGAAGGGAGAATGGTGAAAAATAAGGTTGCAAAGGTAGGTTATAATGTTTGAGGGATATAAGTAATCTAACCAAAGTAATCAGCATAAGTGGGACTCAAACCCAAATTTTACTCTGCAGTTGGAGCTCTTACCTTGCTAGTGCTATATTCCAAACTTCTTAACACAGTATATAGCTCAATCAACTTGAAAAAATAGATACAGGACTATCAAGAGAACTCAACTCGTTTTTGAAAGCCATCTATATCATTCTTTCATTTAAGAACTGGGAGATGTATATTTTAAGGCAACTGATGCACAAACTCTATAGACAGCGATCTCAGTATCTGTCATATTAAAAGTAACTGTGTTTTTCTGAACACTACTAGAATTCAGAGCAGAAATATGAGTCCCCTTGAAAAAGGGGACAGGAAGCCCTAAGTTGTTAAGCAGTTGCTTATACCTGGATAGATCTTGTTCACTTTATTGTAAATGGAAGTGGGAATCTTGGTTGAGTGAAAATCAGACCGGCTAAGTTCTCAGTTCCATCAATGTTTAAGGCATGCAAGTGGTTTGGCTGTTATGCCTATGTCACCTTGGCCTCTTCTATGAGGGCCACAACACAGAGTTCACCCCTTGTAATTTTTGTCCCCAGTGGGTATTCACTGCCTGACTCAGAACTTTGAAAAGTTGGAGACAAAGGTAATGGGCATAAAATGACCCCCAACTCCAACACATACACATGCTGGTAGTGATATAAAGAAATGTAATAGGAAAGCATAATTTCCTTTTTTATTCTAAATTAAAAAACAATCACTTTCCTGTTTTATGCTATAGCTGACACAAGTAGTAGAAAAATTTGGAAGCACAAACTGCAACAATATGACAGTCAAGGGCATGGACTCACTGATGATAAAAAGAAAGGAGGGTTTACATTTCCAAATATTCTCCACTTCTGTTATCTTTTTATTAGGGAACGCCATTTGAGACAATAAGTTCTGTCTCTGGAATAAAATCTAACATGGAAAGCAAAATGAAATTTATACTCCTTATTAATTCATTGTGCATAAAATCAGGTGTCATTGGTTGTATTGTGTAACGGCTTGCTGAAAATCATTACAAATACACACAGCACAATTCTAGTATTACTTTAAAATCAGCTTCCCCTTGAAAACAAAATCCGGATATTTTTTATAAAAATACATTCTCTAATTCTTATCTGGGAAATGGCTCCTAAATGAACAGATGATACCTTTGCAATTTGAAGTTAAGAGCTGCTTATTTGTCACTAAGGCAGTTAGTTTTGACTATGCAGTTTTCGTTTTATATCAAGCAAATACATTTTTTTATTTTCCTGTTTTAAATATTATTTTCATGGTTACATTTATTTAGAGAAAATTATCTATGGTTTACACATAAAAGACAAGCATCAATTGAGCAAATTATGGCATTTATAATTAAATGCTTCTTGTATGCAGTCTCCAACACTGCTAAAGGAAGCCATCACTCTAACAAAATATTGAATATGTTTAGCATAAAATTGCATTAAACAGACCCTCAGAATTCTTATTAATTTATTTGGGATGAAATAAGCAGATTTTTTTTTTTTTTGGTCACACGTTTTCATGTAAATTCACCAATTCAAAAGACTTGCTTATTATTCTTATTTGAGACGGAGTCTCACTCTGTTGCTCAGGCTGGAGTGCAGTAGCGCAATCTCGGCTCACTGCAAGCTCCGCGTCCCGGGTTCACGCCATTCTCCTGCCTCAGCCTCCAGAGTAGCTGGGACCACAGGCGCCCGCCACCACGCCCGGCTAATTTTTTGTATTTTTTAGTAGAGACAGGGTTTCACCTTGTTAGCCAGGATGGTCTCGATCTCCTGACCTCGTGATCTGCCCGCCTCCACCTTCCAAAGTGCTGGGATTACAGGCGTGAGCCACTGCACCCGGCCGACTTGCTCATTATTTTTAAAAGCATATTTTACATGAGTGATACCGGGGTACTTGATAACTGACTGAGCCATTGTTCCATTTGAAATAAAAATATGGAGACATTTCAGGTGAGAATTTTTGGCATTAAACCAAAGAATGATGAATAGTACATTTTTCAAAAAAGATAGCAACAATATTAAAAAATTTAACAAACAGAGTCCCTTGATTAACAGAGACTGGAGTGAAAGTGAGGTGAGACTGTGTGAAACTCACAAAAGGCCCCAGTTAGGTTGATCAGTGGGGTTCCAAGACATAACTTTGAAATTAGGCAATCCTTGACTCTTCCTTCTCTCTTACCTAGTCAGTATCTCAGCCCATCGGATTTTATCTCCTTTTCTAAAATTGAAATGCTTTGCTCTTTCTTACTCAGACTTTTCCTTTTCTCATTATGAGAGCTCAGCTCAAATATCACCTCCTCAGAGAGGCCTATTCTGATCCCTAATTTAAAGTAATCATCCTCTTAGCCCTCACCCCACCTACTACTCACTGCCTCCTACCTCCTCCAGTCATTCCTATCTAATGTATCATCTTCCTATTTTATTTACCTGAGGTTACTTATATTTGTTTTCTTGCTTATTTTCTGTCCCTCCCACTAGAATGTAAGATTTATGGAGGTAAGGACATTCCATGTTAACTGTTGAATCCCTAGTGCCCAAACTCTGTGGCAAGTATTTGAAATAACACCTATCCACAGTGTCCTAATTCAGGTCCTTATAATATCCTGTCTGGGTACCTGTAAGAGTTCCCTGGATGGTTTCCTTAATATCAGCCTCATCTTCCTCAACCCATTTTTTGCACTAGAGCTGGATTGTTCTCTGTAATTCAAATCTAATGATGTCACTCCATTACACAAAGCTCTTCATTGGTTCTTCACTTTCCAAATGAATATTGTCGAACCATACAGAGTGGTGTGCAGTATCACTTTAAGTAGTTCAAAAAAGAATATTTTAATTTAATAGTTTTTAAAATTTATTTTAATATGCGTTAAAACAAACCATCAATTAGCACATTAACGATTTCACAGATCTTATTACTGAAGATGAGAAAAAATAAAAGTTATAATCCATTTACAGACATGGAAAAATTAATGAATGTGTCTTTAAAAGAGTTTTGAATGTGATCAGAGACTAATCTAAAGGATAAAGCCCAATGCCTTCTCTTCAGTTTCACAGAGTCCCTGCCTATCTCTCTGGCATAACATTCACTACTTCTTGCCTTGCGCTTTATATCTTGGCAAATTCAAATTATTTGCAGCTCCGCCAATTCATCACATTCTTTATGGCCTCTCTCTTTTTAGTTCAGTTATCTCCTGTGCCTAGAATGCCTTTGGTTGGCTGCTTTCTCCCTGTTTACTGTCACATGGTTAGCTCTTCTCATTCTGTGACTCAGCTCATGAATCACCAACTTCATGAAGCCTTTGTTGTTTGTTTGTTTCTCTTTCCTCAGGTTTGGTTAGGTACTACTTCTTTGTTCTCCCTTAACATTCTGTAAAAACGTTTTGTTTATACCTACTGCATTGAAAAATAACTATTTGTGCATATCTATCCTTCAAGTGAAATATTCCTAAGATTAGGGATAATGTTTTCTTTACATTAGTATCCCTAGCTTCTATTATAGGACCTATTCTGAATAGGTGCTCAGTTAAAATAATTAGTTAAGAGAAGGGGCCATAACATCAATAATTAAAAAGTTAAATTAAAAAGTTGTTCACCCACAGTATGAGACACATCATATATTTATTCAGTCAGTAGTCAGTCAATAAACTATATATATATATATATATATATATATATATTTACTAAATGTTAAAAAGTATGGGCACTTAAAACTAGTTTGTCGAAGAGATAAATGAAAAGGTCTTAGCAACATGGCATAGTAGGACCTGTTGGTGGGGAAGAAGGATGAACCAAGACTGGAGTGAAGGAAGGATTGGGTAATAGCTGGAGGTAACAGTTGATTTTATTGATTATAAATGTTACATCTCATCAGAGATGGTACCACAGTCCATACTTACCAAATCAAAGGTGCATGTGGGAATGAGAATTGGTGGTGCTAATAGAATACATGTCAGTGAAACTTTCAGATATCAGATGTTCTGTTTTTTGTCTTTCAGTTGGGAGATGGAATCAGTGATTATCAATGTTCACCTGATAACACCGCAAAAGGGGCCAGGGCAAACTGCTAGTAGGAACTGTGCAGAGACCCTAGTATGAAAAAATTTATTCAATAAACAGTGTCTTCTATGGACCAAACACTGTGGATATAGAGATGATTCCAGTATGATATTATTATGGTTTATAATGACCATAAGTGATTGCTATAAAAGAAGGGAACTGTTGTCGAGCTTCAGAGCTAACCCAGGGATTACATCTTTGTTAGACATAATAGATTAAGGCCATGTGACTAGAACACTCTTTTCAGAAAACTTTGTTAGTGCTTGAGAAATAACATTAAAATCCAAGCAAAAGACAATTCTGGGAAAATGATGAAGTAGGAAGCACCAGAAATCTATCTCCCTGCTTAGACAATAATTGCTCTAGCAGAATCTGTCTACTATAACTATTTTGGAACTCTGGAGTATAATGAAGACTTGAAGCGTCCAGGAGAAGGATAATTGGGATATCCATCATGTTAAACATTTATCCTGATTTGACCAATACACACTGTACACAGGTATCAAAATATTACATGTAGCCCCAAAATATGTACAGCTATTATATATCCATTAAAAATGTTAAAAATAAAATTTGAAGTAAAGAATTAAGTAATTTCCTTTGCTTCACTAATTAGCAGAAAATTTGAACATAACATACATTTTGGGAGTTTGGATTATAATCATTTTTAAGGATAAAACCTATAAATCCCTTTCTTCTCTAGACCATTTGAGAGACTTTTTATAAAAAGCATCATTTGAAGATATGCTTTTATTTTTTTCTTATAAAGCTTCAATAATCTCTTGAAGTTGTTCATACACTTCTACAATGCATTTGCTATTCCACTGATTATTGTGCAGTGCTATTACTGACCCTACCAATATCTCTGGATCATGCTACATTTGGAGAATAATATTCTCCCATATATCCAACATGCAGTGGTGGGACAGGCATAGGATAACCTCTACAGATAGTTGCAATCAAAAGGAGGGAAAATGGAAGTTGAGCAAGTTACTGGTCTGTAGACATTCTGAAATCCAGTTGGGTGCAGATTGCATTTCTTGAGTAGGGCTCCATCTTATTGGAGTTGTTCACTATTGTTCTTAGTTCTACTTTCTGGGTTTTTGTTTCCTCCCTCTGAATGATCCTACTTTTCATATAAGAAACATTCTTATGCCTGCTTTCTGTTCATAAAAGCTCAGGGGCCCAAAGGTCTCTTAATATATTGTACTTTCTCTGTCCCTTCTATTCCAAGCTAGGGATGCTTCCACCAGAATAATTATCTAAAAACATTGTGGGATTTGTGTTTACTAATTGACAATTCGCACAATTAGATAAATGTCATATCCACAAATCTTTCTGACATAAGTCTTTGTCTACCTTGAGTTCCCTGTAAGACTGTTGTATGACTCTCTACAATCCTGTCCAACCCACGGCCCATGGGCTGCATGCTTTGAATGTGACCCAACACAAATTTGCAAACGTTCTTAAAACATTATCAGATTCTTTTTTTTTTTTTGCGATTTTTTTTTTTTTTTTTTTTGAGACGGAGTCTTGCTCTGACACCCAGGCTGGAGTGCAGTGGCACAATCTCGGCTCACTGGAACCTCCACCCCTCCAGGTTTAAGCAATTCTCTGCCTGAGCCTCCGGAGTAGCTGGGATTACAGGCGCGTGCCACCACACCCGGCTAATTTTTTGTATTTTTTGTATTTTTAGTAGAGACGGAGTTTCACCATCTTGGCCAGGCTGGTCTTGAACTCCTGACCTCATAATCCACCTGCCTCGGCCTCCCAAAGTGCTGGGATTACAGGTGTAAGCCACGGCACCCGGCCTTTTTTGTGATTTTTTTAAAGCTAATCAGCTATTGTTAGTGTATTTTATGCATGGCCTGAGACAATTCTTTGTCCAATGTGTCCCAGGGAAGCCAAAAGATTGGACATTGCTGCTCTGCAATGCCCTTAGATTCTCAGAACCCTTATTTTTTAGGGCGGAGGAGACTCAAGGCATGCCCTTAAGGTCTTAGGTCTTCTGTCATCTGAAAGTTTCTATGAGTCACTATATTTGATCTTTTGAGGGCTTAATAAGGAGTTTTGTAAGCATACCCAGGGATTACACCTTAGACTTTACTTCCCTGATAGCGCTCTGGATTTGAACTCTGACCCAGAGCTATTTATTAATTTTAGTTTCATTTGACATCTGGAGAGACTAAGAACAAAAACCACTTTTTTTTTGTACAAATAATCTTGCCCCCTTTGTAATGAACAGTCTGTTCTTTTACTTATCTCTGTTTTCTCACATTTTGTCATCTAACAAGAAGAAGACAGGTGGCACTTTCAATAATCTGCCTGGAAATCTTAGATTGTCATTAGATACTTTTACTATTTTCCATGTTATTGCAACCAACAGAATTGCCAGACATTCTGCCACCATATTACAAAAGTCTCCTTTCCTCCAGCTTCCAATCACATTTTCCATACTTTCCTTTAAGCTCCCAGGGACGATCTACCCAGCGCTTCTGCTAACACCTGCCTTTTTAGTCTTTCCCCAACATTCTTCATGAAGCACTTTCACTAACACTTTTTCAATGCCCTTTTAGTTTCTGCCTGCTACTTGGTTCAAAACCTACACCATATGTTATAGGATACTATAATATGACATGATAATAGCATCATATTTCCAGGTATTAAAATTTGTTCTAGTCCTCTATTGTTACATAAAATAGTATCTTAAAAATGCAGTTTCAGTAAGACAGTGGATGGGACTGGGGTCAATGCAAAGGTTTTCTCACTCACATGTTTGGTGGTTAATGCTGGCTTTCAAATGAGACTTTACTTGGGTTGTTAGCCAGAACAGTACACAGGACTTCTCCACATGGCTATTGTGCTTCCTTAAAGCATGGTGGCTGGGTTCTAAGAGTGAGATTTCCAAAGGACCAGGCAAAATCTACATTGCCTCCTATGACCCTAGTCTTGAAGGTCACTTTTTAATAATTGTTTTTATTTTAAAATTTTTGTGGGTAGATAGTAGGTGTATGTATTAATGGAGTAAATGAAACATTGTGATACAGCCATATAATGCATAATAATCCCAGAAGGATAAATGGTGTATCCATCATATCAAGTATTTATCCATTCTTTGTTTTATAAACAATTTAATTCTACCTTTTTAGTTATTTTAAAATGTACGATAAATTAATGTTGACTATCGTCACCCTGTTGTGCTATCAAATACTAGATTCTATTCATTGCATCTAACTACTTTTTGTACCTATTAACCACCCCCTGTCCCCACTATCCTTCCCAGCCTCTGATAACCTTCATTTTACTCTCTATCTTCATGAGTTCAATTGTTTTGATGTTTAGCTCTACAAATAAGTGAGAACATGCAAAGTTTGTCTTTCTATGCCTGTCTTATTTCACTTAACATAACATCCTCCAGTTCCATCTGTGTTGTTGCAAATGACAGGATCTCATTCCTTTTTATGGCTTAATAGTACTCTATTGTGCATATGCACCACATTTTGTTTATTCATTTGTTTGTTGATGGACACTTAGGTTGTTTCCAAATCTTGGCTATTGTGAATAGTGCTGCAACGAACATGGGAGTGCATTTATCTCTTCAGTATACTTCTTTTGGGGTATATACCTGGCCACTTAGTGTCACTTGTGCCATAGTCACTGGCTATACCATATTCAAACATAAATATAAATCTCACCTCTTGATGGAAAAATGTCATTATCATTTTGTAAGGAAAATGTATAGATGGAAAGATGTTATTGTGGTCATCCAAAATACAATCTGTCACAGTCTGTGATAGCTAACCTGCTAAATTCATCTTCAGTCTCAATTTTCCATTAAAAGAAAAGAAATGATTTTGAGTGACACTAGCTCCCAGTGTCAGCAATTTAAAAATTAAAATGAACTTGATGATGCTTCCCTGAGAATGCCAGAAGTAGTAAATTAAGAAGTAAACTTTTCAAGAGAAAAAACTGTCCTGGATCTAAAAGAGTAGGAATACAGACAACAATACTCCCTATGCCAGAATAATTTAGCATGCTTACTCTGTTAGATTTTACTGAGTCCTTACTTAGCAGACAAAGGATGAGGTTTATTACTTTTTGATGAATGAGAGTTGAGTTAGAGAAGCTCTGGGTGAATATTTCATCTCACTAGACGGTTTGGGACATTAAATTTTGGGCATTAAATTATGTCCCCATCTCCTCCCGAAATTCAAATGCTGAAGCTCTAACTCCTAGTAGCTTAGTGACTGTATTTGGATATAGGCCCTTTAAAGTGATGTATTTGGATATAGGCCCTTTAAAGTGATGATTAAAGTAAAATGATGCTGTTATGATGGGCCCCAATTCAGTATTACTGATGTCCTTATAAAAATAGGAAATTTGGACATGCTGAGAGACACTTGAGATGTGTTTACACAGAGTGGAGGGCCACCATGTGAGGAGGAAGCAAGAGGGTGAGCATCTCTCTCACCTATAAGGAGAGAGACTTCAAAAGAAGCCAACCCTGCTGCAACCTTGATTTTGGACTTCCAGCCTCCAGAACTGTGAGAAAATACATTTCTACTGTTTAAGCCACCCAGTCTGTGATATTTTGTTATGGCAGCCCTAGTAAAAGTATACACCATTTTTAAAGTAAGGATAATAAAACCTTCTTCTGACGATGGAATCAGACATTTAAAAAACATCACACTGTGCCTGCCATTTTATAGGTAGCAGATGAAGAAATCACCCTTTCTGTAATAAGATTGTGCTACATATCAGTCAGTAGAGAAAGGTGAAGGCTCAACAAATATGGAGGCCCTTTAATAGTCTTGTAATATTTTACTTCTCTGGATGTTACATGATCTCTGTATAGTTCCTTAATATTTTATTAGATAAACACTGTGACCCCTTTTTGAAGTCACCTAACTTACGTCTACATTCCCCTTTCTTGCCGAATATCACTAGGTCCCTTCTCCCCTACCTGTCATGAGGGCTTACTTCCTAACCTGATGATCACAGAGCAGTTCTTGAAAGGAGTCTTGAGATACCTTCAAGTACAAAAGAGAACTTGTTATTTTGATGTATTAAAAAACTGAGACGTGATAGTCTCCAGGTGCCATCTGATAAGCACTCCCCCTCATCCATTCCTATCTGCCATGTAGTTCTTAGTAAATGACAAAGTCTTATTTTAAAATGTGACTGTGTTTATTTCCCACTGAGTACCCAATGAAAGGAAGATCACCCCTATTTACCCTTACCATGAATTAAAAGCAAAAACAAAATCACTGGATTCCTCCACAGGCCATGTAAGAATCATGTTATCAAAGCTACTTTGGTGCCACATCGAAAAATGGCAGCTGAGAATCCAAGGAAATATTGATTTTACCAGCAGAAAAGGGTCTGTGAAAATTAAAAAGAATATTGTTTATTGGAGAGAAATATAAAATAATAAAATAGGAGGCTCTAAAGCTATGTGTACACATGAAATGTTGAAGATAGAACCAAAGATGCACTTGTGGGTTAGTAAAGAGTTCTTCCCTTTACTTCTGAGGCTCGCCCAGTTCTACAGAAGTCCTTGAGTCCTCGGTACTGTTCAGTAGTTTGGGAAGCAAAACTGAACCCTATGCAGTCAAGATCTGGTTCAAGATAGTATGTGCTTTTGAACTGGTATGAGTCACTAACTGGTGCTGAGTCTTAAGGGAACTCAGAGAAAAAGGTAAGTTCTTGATCACTGTAAGGTTGAATACACATTTATGGGGTGGAACAGACCAGACCATTGTGAAGTATTGCCCCATAGACTATTCCTGAATAGGTCTCATCTGGTAGCCTGAACAATAGATATTTGTCTTTCCTATTCAGGAGATAATTTGAACATGCTTTGTGATCATTCTCAGCAGATTCACTTGATTTGTGAGCAAACTGATGAAAGTGATAATCCACAGACCTAATTCTACATTTTAAGAGATAAAAGATAAAACTCTTCAAGCGAGGATATTAGAAATCAAGCTGTCTGCCAAAGATTAATATTCCCTTCCACAGAATGGAGCCGCTGTGTTGCTGGGAAGCAGCTGCCCATCAGGAATTACATTTCTCTAGCTCCCTTCATTTAAGTGGGACCATGTGACAGAGAGCTGGCCAAGAGAATGCAGGCAGAAGTGATGCACACCACATACAGGCCTGGCCCAGGGGAAACTTTCATGCAGTCTTCCACTGTCTTTCCCATCTGCTGGCTAGATATCAACACTGAGGCTGACT